>NC_000013.11:81006397-81159237 GCF_000001405.40 Homo sapiens | reverse complement strand
TATCAATGTTAAACTGAAATTATATATATTATAAATTTGTTCATTTTCTATTTGCATTGGGAAATTTAGTTTATAATCAGAAAAATGCTTCATTAGAATTTAAAGAAGGCAATTGGTTTTGTCTGATTTGTTTACAGATATATTCTCACTAATTAAAGTAGTTCGTGGAATATAGTAGACACTTCAAGTTATATATTAAATGAGTATTGCATATATATGTACACATGGTATATTACTCATAATATATAAATTTCTACTTCTGAGCTTTTATAATTATAACCTCTTGCATAATAGAGTAATTATCATAAGCAACTTAAATATCTTAAACTGTATTATGGTTTTTAACCAAAACTCGTGTAATTTTATATGAATTTATTATAATTACTATCTATTTTGTTGTATTAAATTATAATTTATTTAAACAGAAGTAGAACATTGTTTTTTAAAGTAATATAAGTGGCAAAGTTAGATCCATAGTTAGATCTTACAATTATATTTTAATGGTAATTGCTTTTAAAAGCTGATATTAATCTATAGGAACAATATAATTCCAATAGGTTGACCTTTTAGGGAAATGTTTCAATTGAATAAACTCATCTGGGAGTACACATTTATTATAAAATGTTTCATATGATTTGCAAAACTAACATCATTTATATAGCAAGTTAATTAGGAAATAATTATAGAAAAAGCATTAATCAAAACGACATGTTATTTATACTTGACGAGTATGAACTCAATATCGTGGTTTATTCTTCAGAGAATTGATTGTATATCATCAGTCAAAATGATTTTAAATATAATTCTCTGCATGCAAAGTAAAAGCAATGAACCATGATGACTAATAGGCAAGTGTTTGGAGTGTATAAATATAATAGGAAAAATTGGAGTTTGCACCAAACAAATTTCAGGGATGAGATTAGAAAAATTTGATAAACAAAAGACCATATTTAATGGGAAATTTATAAAGGAGACAAATGACAGATTTACCTTCCGTCTTTTTTTAACATTTTTACAACAATGAAAGTGATCATATAAAGAGGTTCTAAGAAAATGACTGAATTCAACATTTGGTAAAGAACGTTTTTTAATTATAAAAACACAAACCAAGTTTGTTAACAATTGCTGACCAATTTGTTGAAACTCCCTGATTCATTATTTTTTGTAATGCCATGCTTTATTTGCTTTCTGCCTGTGTATTTCATAAGACAAGTTTTTAAAGCAAGGCTTCTGCCATCCAGCTTCTGGATGTTTAGTAATCTGCCCCCACCCCTACTCCCAGCCTATCCCAGTATCAGTGCTAGGTGCAAAAAACAAAAGAATATAAGAACAGAAAGAAATTCTGCCCTAAGAGACCAAGATATTTACTTAGAATTATTACTGACACTTACCTAATGATCAGTTACCAAGATAATCTCAGTGTTGCCAGTGATAGTAACTTCTGAATTGTTTTTATAAGGAATGACTTCAAAGAAGTTCAAATATTAACTTATTTCCATAACTCCAAAAATAATAAAACAAAATATATTTAGATGAATTTTATGGTCTACTCAAATCAATACAAATACTTGAAAGTTTTTTCCCATTATCTCTTTTTTTATGGTTTCTGTACTGTTTTGCCTTTTACTTTATATAAATTTTAAATGTTCTCATTCTTCTTTGGATAAATGTGAGTATACATATATATGTACATGTATATATAAATGCATATAAAATAAGTAATGCACATAAATGTATATAAATAATACACACATTATTATATAAAATAATAATATACGCATGTATGTGCATGTACTTATTTGTGTATATATGTATGTATGAGTGTATATAGACACATACATTATCTACATGTTTATATGCATTTTTATGTATATTATGTATATGTATGTATGTATTTTATGTATATGTATTTTTATGTTTGCATACATGTTTAAATGCTCATTAGTTCATTTTACTATAGGGGGATTCAAAAGAAAAGTTGTAGAAGCCATATAATTATAATGTAAAAAGCAATTCAAACTTTTAAAATAGTAATAATATAATAAGTTAAATTGGTCGTCAATTTTCAGGAGATAAAAAATTAACCTAAATAATGATAATGTTTGAATGTTGTGATTGTAATTTAGAAATAAACAGGTTAGTTACCATTTTGGTCAAATCAATATGTTTAATCATTGCAACATAATTGGTTAAGTATAATCTGTGTTTTTTCAGTACTTTAAAAATGTCTGTTAATTAAAAAATAATTTTTTAATGTCTATTAAAAGTATAACATGTAAGCAGAAAGTTATAAACATTGAATAATTCTAAGAAAAATAAATCATTTAACAAGGTTAATCAAATAAAACAAGTAAATCTAACTTTGAAGTGTTGTCTTTTCCCTGAGTTTACTCCTAAAAAATAAGAACATATTTTAATAATTATTAACAGATTAGTAAGACCTTTAAATTTGCCCAATTCTAATCCTGAGGGAAACCTAATGATAAAATAGGAATTATGCACTATTTTGCCTTCTTAAATCCTATATTAATCACATTGTCTAAAAGTAGAAAGATTATTGATAAGATTAAATATGCATAAAATTTGTTTTTATGTTTTTAAAGTTGACAAAATTGTCATGTTTATTTAAACATAGACTGTATTAATTATGGAGTGCGTGCTTTGGACTGATTTTTCTAGTCAAGAATGACTTTGCCTATTAATAGGATGACAATCGGCTTTTACTTCTTTTAAAGAGTCACTAAACCAAGTTGAATGAATTAATTAACAAAGCACGGACAATACAAAATATTAAAAAGTCTATACATCTGTTCTTTAAAAATAGATCTCATTTATCTGAAAAGGGAATTAGGATAATTGAAAATGTCCCTATTGAAAAGTTGACACTAATAATAGAATAGACATATTTAGAGTTGACAGAATGTTGTTAAAAGAAAATCATTCCAAATATAAAACATTGTTATGATTTTGTAAGGTCTTTTTTTCTATGAGAAAACTCATGAAATATGTCCTCCCTGATTTTTAAAAAGCCTTAAACACTTTTATTTCCTCCAGAAGGAAGGGGGAAGAAGACCGACTCTCTCCAGCAACTTGGGGCCACTTCATTAACTAATGCCTCAAAGAATGTACCCAGCCCTGTGAAATGATAGGCAAAAGCTTCAGAATGGTATCACATATTTCTGAATATTATTAGAGTGAAAATTATATTCTCAAATCATTATATGTTGAGCTTGTTTCTTTGTGTGTGCATGTCTTGAATATAATTAAAAACAAATACTATCTTATTCTCTAAATAATACACTATTTTCTAAACAGTTCATTTTATTCTCCTCCTTATTTCATCTTACCTGCCAATATGGTAAGACCAATTTCTGTAACCTGCCTCCAAAAACTATTGATTCCAAAATTGTTTATTTGGAAATCATAGTGGAAGCCTATTTTCTGAGTCATAATATTCTGAGTTTCTGAGTTTTTTCTGTGTTGTTCTGAGTTTTGACATTCTATCATTTCTTTTCCAGGAAGTAATGATACCCCTGTTTTACCCTAATTAGACTTTCTTATCAGCCAGTCTAATCATCAAGGAATAATTTCAGAGCCAGTACTTTCTCAAGGCAAACTGTTTCTCTAAAAGATTAATACATTCACTCAATCTCTGGCATTTTGAGTTATTGGAAAACCTATCCAAACTCTTGATTTATTGACATAAACATGATTGGGCAAATGAGTGTGATAAGATATAGTGTTTTCATGGTGCTTTTTTTTTATATTTGAAGCAAAAGGTCACCACAGGATATGAATGATGTAGTCTTATTATCAGTTGTGTCAATCATTGTTAATATTTGTGTGAGGAAAATATTTTAGGACTACTCTGCCATATCTTTGGTAAAGATTAAAGTATCCCATTTATAAATTCATCCATGTGTGTCTTAAATAATGTAAGATCAAAATAACATTTCTGTTGCCTCTGGCCCTTGATCTCTCAAAGAAAGCACCCTTCTTCGTAACCATTTTCTCGCTAAATCTATTAATTTTTGTTCATTTTAAGGTAGTGGGTGGTAATTCCATTCTAATACATGAACAACTTGATTTTATAATTCTTAGGACACATTTTAAAAGTCAAATTGGTATCATTGTGTGCTGAAGGAAATGAAGTTGATATAACAGCATAACTTAAACATTAATGTTAGATTCAATGACCCCATGCTGACTTCGGATTAGTGTAATTATAAAAACTTTTCAAGCAAATTAAATCTTTATTTTAATTGAATGGAATGAACCCTTGGCGGCATGAACTTTTTCACTAAGATTTATTTCTTTAGTCTGTCCATCAATCTTAATTGTGATTGGAGGAGTTATTTCATAACCAAGAAGTTTTGTTTAATGATACGTAATTTGAATAAGAGTTTTGTTGTTGTTATTGTTGTTTTGTTTTGTTTTTGCTTTATGGTTTGGAGGAGATTTTCTTAATAAAATTGAGTTCTCATTGTCATTTTTCTTATAGTAGTGGTTTATGAATGTTTTCTTCTATTGTCTATTTATTTTGTAACATATTATTTTTGTGAATCAGCAGTAACATTTCAACGCAGATAGGATGAAGGCTTAAGGTATCTTACTAGCTTGCTTAGTTCAACTGCCCATTTTAGTAGATATACAATGGAATCTAATTTTTTTAGGTAGTGTTTTTTGGGGGGAGAATGGGGAAGGTGGTGATACGTTTTCTAATTTTGTGCATCTTTTTTATGTCTGAAAGAACATTACCCTCCATCTCTTCTTTCCCTTCACTACCAAGCCTGTGAAGGGGAATCTTGCCTCTTCAAGTCACACAGTCTCCCCATAAACTACATTCATAGAATAGCATCTCCTAAGAATTCCACCTTAGTTCAGTACACTTTCATTTCCAATCTTTTGATTACCTAGTAGCCAATTCTCAGATTAGTGATTTTATACCTATTCTTATTGTGTCACCATTCATTATATACATGTGGCAACAATTTTTATGGAATGCTTCAAGAAATACCTCAGGTTTATTTCATCTAAATAATTTTTTATTGGTGGGAATGTGCTTCTTTACAAGCTGTAGTAAACAAATAGCATTTTTATATAAATAAAATGATTTAAATACTGCATAAATATTTATCTAAAAAATAAATGATAAAGCATAATATTTGTACCACAATACTCACTATAATAAAAAGTAAATCATTGAAAAACATAATACAAATGAATAATTTCAAGTAAATAATTGAAAACCATAATGCATACACTATAATTATTATACCAACATATCTCTTATATTTGTACCAAAATAGAGCAACTATAAACACAGTTGATATTATGAAACAGTATATTTTGTGTTTGTTTAGATCCAGTGTAGTTAATAACACCATCACACTGTTCTGTAATATTTTTGTTAGTCCCCCCATTAATTAGAAATTAATTCACATCTTCATGAATGATATGAAGGATAAACCTCCTTAGTTAATGTCAAACAACATTAGAATCTCAAGTTTCTCCTAGTGTTGCACCTATCTAACATGTACTTAAGAAAGGAAGAATCTGAGTCAGCATTAACTTATTCATTAATACCTAAGCATTAATTTAATTAATTAACTTATTTATTTCTGAGATGGAGTTTCACTCTTGTTGCCCAGGCTGGAGTGCAATGGTGTGATCTTGGCTCACCACAACCTCCACCTCCCGGGTTCAATTGATTCTCCTGACTCAGCCTCCCGAGTAGCTGGGATTACAGGCATGCACCACCATGCCCGCTAATTTTGTATTTTTAGTGGAGGCAGGGTTTCTCCATGTTGGTCAGGCTGGTCTCGAACTCCCAACCTCAGGTGATCTACCTGCCTTGGCCTCCCAAAGTGCTGGGATTACAGGCGTGAGCCACTGTGCCTGGCCTGCTCCTAAGCATTTATTTTTAACCAAGTGTTCCATACTTGGTGAAGGCAACATAGGGCTGATGAAATCATAAAGCTTGCTAAATCAGCTAATATTTTTCTTTTAGAGAAAAAATTGTGAATTTTTTCCTCTAAAAGATTCAATAAAATCTAGATTCAATAAAAAGTTAAATTTGAATGTGTATTAAAAATAATTAAAATACATTATAGTAGAATAGGAAATAACACAAGTAAAGAGAATATGAACTTTACTAAGCAGCTTGAAAGACCTTAAGTCACATTTTTTGGACATCAAGTCAAGGTTAACCATGTCTTTTAAAAAAATGATATATAATTATTATACATATTTTGGGGGTGCATGGGGTATTTTGATACCTGTATACAATGTGTAATAATCAAATCAGAGTAATTTGGATATGAATTTACTCAGGCATCTTTTCTTTGCATTGGGAATATTACAATTCTTCTCTTCTAACTATTTTGAAACATACAATAAATTAACAATTGTTAATTATAATTTTCTCACTGTACTATCAAATGCTAGAACTTATTCATTCTATCTACCCCTTAACCAAACCTCTATTGATGCCTTCATTAATGGCAGGATATTATCAGGCCTCTAATGTTTATCCATTCTTTCAGCCATTCATGCATTTATTTAGGGAAAAAATATTATGTAGCAGGTAAACTACTGTTTAGTTAGGAATCTAATAGTAATATTATAGTATGGTAAAAGTTATGAGAGATAAATGTATAGCGCAATGTTCTGCTAAGGGCTGGCGCACTTAATTCAGATGGAGGTTCAGCAAAGCCAAGTCTTGGGCTAAGTCATAAACAAAAAAATAGGAACTAGCCCTGGCAGGAGAGGTGGTAAGAAAAGATATGAAATTGCAAACAGAGGAAAAAGGTCAAGAGGCAGAAGTGAGAAGGAATATGATAGATCCAGGGAACTAACAATTATTTTGGCATGCCTTAAGAGCAGTGTACATATGATTAAGAAGATGGTAGTACTTTTATTTCTAAAGAAGACATTTGAATCATGTCCTACATATTTTTGAAATGAATAGAAATATTTAATCTGTAACCTAATTTGCATTTTGCATATATGACTTTGGTAACAGCATGAAGCTTTTGTTGGAGTACAAGTCAAGCACAGAGCTTTAAGCATCAATCGATACCTCCTGAAAAGCAAATCTTTTTCAAGGATGCTTAGCTCTGGTTATTTTAAGGCAGGCCACCAGCGCTTTGTGCTCCACCTTGCCTAGGTAATTTTACTTCAGAAGATTCATTCTCATTGTCAGAAATTGTATCTTGATTCGAGCCCTTTGCCCAATTCCCAAATTTTCCCTGACTTTGTCACTCAGGATGACTGTTTGGATAATCAGTTTGTTTTCTCTTAATGACAAAATATGCAGGGATCTTAGAAAACAATAGCCTTAATTAGTCACAGCTAATTTTTGGAAATCATAATCCTAGAACAATAAATCCCTTCTCAAAATGTCTAAGCCTATTTGTAGATAGTGATTCACTTGTCTTTGTCAGACCAAAATGTTTAAATTCTCTTAAAAATACAAAACAATTGGAAGTATTCAATTACGATGTGTTCATGTTACTCTGATACACCAACTTTCTTTTTCTTCCCCCTTTTAAAAAATTACTTAACTTCTTTAAATGAATATTAAAGGTGAGCCATGGGCTAGTCAAAATGATAATATACTTACTGTTATTATGTCTCATTTAATCTTTACAGCCGACTTGTAGATGGATAATAATATCTAATGGAGGAAGGAATCAAGGCTCCAAAAGAACAAGTGACTTTAATAATGCTCAGCTATTAAATTACAGAGCCAAGAACCAAACTCAGTTCTCTTTGATGACAAAGGCAATTTCACTTCTATTACTATTACACGTCTCTTACTGTTTCTCTAAGAACTCTACAGCAAAGCTTGTCTTGAAGATAGAAATTTAGATTTCTTCATTTGACTGAATTATTTTTTCTTCTTACTCTAAGAATACCTAATTATTTCTTTTCTAAATCTAATCTAAAAAATGAGAAAGACATTCTAGAAACTATAACTATATTAAATTCTTAGCAGTAAATTTCAAGAGCCATGTTTCTGAGAAGTCTAGATATTAGTTTAATTTATAGTCTGACCTTCGTGGGTTAAAACTTAATACTTTTTTCTACTTACTTCAGCTATGCTTTGCTGAGTATTCAATTCCTTTTCTTTAATAATGTACCAGAAATGTTCTTGTCTCTCCAAATGCACTTCCCACCCTTTCCCCACACTGATCTCTTCCCTAGGGAGTTGACCTGTATGGAATAAATAGAGATATCTCTTAACCTCTGGCTTCCAGTCCGACTGGCTAATGCGAAGCCAGGCAGGAGATCAGAGGAGGAGAATTAGGTCAGCACATTTATTTTCCAGCTCACCTGTGACTGAAGGTCACAGGTCCTCTTATTATGGTTTGGCCATATGACTCTCCTTTGAGATCCAGTAACCATTCTCTCCTTCAGGTTTAAGGAAGCTGCAGTCCTGCTGTTGTTAACTCTGGCTACTGCACTATCCTGTGTCTTTTGATGACCTATCCACACGCTTGTTAATAGCCCATTTATTTAATTCTCCTGAAATCATACTAAATTGCATATAACATCAATTTTGTTTTAGGCTCCTGAGTGATAAAATGACATGGCAGAAGATCTTACAACTTTCTGACTAGTTGCGTATATTAAAATATTCTCTGTTATTCAGTTTCACTCCAAATCTGTTTTCTTTTTTGTTTTGTTTTTTGTTTTTTTTTGTCATGTTAGGTAGGAAAGAGAGAAAAGAAATGTGAAAGGTACTCTTCTGAGGGAATATCATTAATTACTCTTGGTTCACTATGTTTCCTGATTTCACAGCAACCGGCTGCTATGAATGGCATCTAAACACTGGCACTCTGGTGGTGCAAAAGTGTAAGTATTTCGGGGGTCCTGTGGTGAGATGGAGGAGTTTGCTAAGGAAGGCCATTTTGCCTGATTACACCTCTGACAAGCTGTAGAAAGTGGTCACTCCAAACCCTCTTGTTTCTGAGATTGTCTGCCCCAGCAAAGTCCTCAATTTCTAAAATGTTTGGTTGATGCTGCTCCTACCCTGACTCTTCATTCGATTTGCAAGATGTGTGTGTGGAGAGAAACACTCAAACCCTCTGTTGGTGGTTCATGGTCACTGATTCCTTCTCTTGCCTCAGTCTTTTGTTGATAAAGACTATAGGAATGGGTACTCGCTAGTTAAGAAGAATTTAATATTTAATAAATCCCAGCAAGGTATCTTTCCACAATACTTGTAAGTTTTTGTTTCTGAATGTGAGATATTTAAAATCACTTTGTTGTCTTTATTTTTAACTTTTATTTAAGTTCAGTTGTTCAAACACAGGATTGTTACATAGGTAAACTTGTGTCATGGGGGTTTGTTGTACAGATTATTTCATCACCCAGGTTTAAGCCTAGTACCCATTCGTTATTTTTCTGGTCCTCTCCCTCCTCCCACCCTCCCACCTCTGAAAGGCACCAGTGTGTGTTGTTCCCCTCTATGTGTCCATGTGTTCTCATCATTGAGCTCTTCCTCCTAAGTGAGAACATGTAAGACTCATAATGAAAACAAGGTGACTTTGTTTTGCTGCAGTATGGACTTAAGAGACAAGAACCCATTACTCCATCTCTGCATGATCCAATCAGATCACACCTCATCATATCTTCCTATCTTCCCAATAACTATCCTCTGCCTATCCAACCTGCCCCCCAGACCCCAGCGCAGGGAGATAGATTTTTCTTCCTATTTCCTTGCCAGGTGACTTGCAATAAAACCTTTCTTTTCTCAAATGCCAGTGCCATTGTATTGACCTCTGTGTGTGGCACAGCAGCGAGCCCGTTGTTTGCTCAGTAACATCCACCTTATACAGTTACATCTACAAAAAATGAATATATCATTTATTGCAGTCTCTCAAGAGGTATGTGTTAGAGAAAAGACATATATACTTCTTTCCAACAATTAGGTATGTAAAAATGGCATGTGATAGCCCTTTGAGTGTGGAGATAAATCACTTGAAAGGGTAAGAACACTTATAAAAACATTAGTAGTATAATCTCAGTGACAGATGTATGAGGGCTTATTATACTTCCCTCTTTAACATATAGTTGCATTTGTTTATAACAAATGGTTTTATAAGTGTTAAAAGTTCACAACAAATATATATTTCATTACAAATTACGGAACTGAAAGCCACATTAATAGTCTGTTTCCCACTGCACTTAGAACAATATATATAAACTTCTTAACTGACCTAGCTGCCAAAGTCCAACGGTCACAATATCCTACTACTATACTGGTAATTCTTTCTGATTATTGACAAACCAATTGATTTCTACCTAAGGTGATTTGACCTGCTTGGGATCCCTTGTCTCAAATGCTCTTCTGCTCATTCCTTACATGGCTGGCCATTTGTCACCTTTCAGGTCTCATTTTTAAGTAGCAACTTTTCAGAGTGGCTTTCTCTGACCAATGTGTCCAAGAGAAGCTCCCACCACTCAAATGATTTCATTTCAGAGCATCATTTTGCTTTGTTTATAATCCTCATCATGGCTTTTAATACCACCTTGCCAGATCTTCAAATGTATTAACCGCCCCTGCTGTTGTATTCAACTTTGTATCCTTACAGTGCCTGGTAAGTAGAAAGTGCTCAAAATGCTTGATGGGTGATGAAATCTAGTTTGAATAAATTGGAATAAAAAAACCTGGCTCTTTGCTTTCAAATAAACAGTAGGGTGGTGGACTCATTATTAAATTCCACTGTAAGATTATTTTCACCATCAAGTGCTAGTGAAATGTTCTCTAAGCTTTGTCATTTTAATGTTGAGAAAGTCGTATGCCTTTGAAATGTTTTGTATTTGGTTAGATCCAGTATAGTTATTAATAAACCAATCACTGCTGTTTCATAATGTCTTTATTAATCCCATTAATTAAAAGTTAATTCACATCTTCAGGAAGCAAACACAAACAAAAGAATTCCCAACAGAATGTTCAATTGCAGTGTTAGCAAATACCAAAGAAATCAATCAAGACAGTAGTTTACTCAAAGCTTCATTTATAAAGGTATAATCAACCACATTTCTTAATCCCTTTGTCAGGAAGAATAAATGTTCAATTTGTTTTCTAACCACTTGCTTAAGTACCAAACACCTGTACTGAGTAGATACAGCATTAATCATTCTACCATCCATCTATGTCCTCTCTCAGTTTCTTTGTTTATCTTGCCATTATAGTTCTCAGCTTACTTTCTTAAGACTTTTTCTATGACATAAGAAAGTCTGCACTTGATGCAAAGTACTTTATATAACCCTACTGAAACTGATGAGATCATATTCTTTTTCCTTAAGGAAGTGTTCAAACTCAGTTTTATGTGCATTGGATGCTTACATAATTAGGAATAATTTGGTTAATCTTCTACTAGTAAAAGAATGTGTTTAACTATTGGAAAATCTCACATCACACTCAAATTTACGTGAATTTCTGCTAGAAGTAAAAGCAATAATTCAATAGAGAAAATTATGAGAGACTGAGGCCTATGACCTTGAAATAGAGGAGGAAAACAATCAGCTACAAAGCAGAAAACAAACGAGCTATAAAAACAATGAGGAAAACAGTGAAATATAGCATGTAAACAGAAAGAGCACAATGGAAGGTGAGAGTGAAAAACAAAATGAAATGAGTTGGGAGCACAAAACGTGGTATGAGAGAAGGGGAGAGGAGAAGAGAGAATATTTCAATGAAAAGATAACGCAGGGGATTGGAAACAAAAAAATGTGTTATTAAATGTATCTGATCACAACCAAAAGCAGAATTTGGAGAAGAGAAAAAGTAGAGAAAGGAGATAGAAGCAAAAAAAAAAAAAAAAAAAAAAAAAAAAAGAAGGCAATAAAAAGAAAGAAATCTGAGAAAAACCAGGAAATTAAGCAAAGTGTAAAGAGAGACTGAAAAAATGGAGAAACTGTTTGCCTTAAAGAATGGCTTAGTCATTAAATAGAGCCATTTTATGCTCTAAGATAAATAGTCAAGTCCTTTCTTACTACAGAGATACGATTTGGCTGTTTCCCCATCCAAATCTTTCATCTTGAATTGTAATCCCCATAATGCCTACATGTCTAGGGAGAGACTTGATGGGAGGTGATTGGATCATAGGGTTGGTTTTTCCCATGCTCTCCTCATGATAGTAAGTGAGTTCTCCTGAGATCTGATGGTTTTATAAGTGTCTGGCACTTCCCCTCTTTGCACTTCTCTCTCTTGCTGCCATGTGAAGAAGGTCATTGCTTCACCTTGTACCATGATTGTAAGTTTCCTGAGGCCTCTCCAGCCATGTGGAACTGTGAGTCAATTAAACTTCTTTTCTTTATTAATTACCCGGTCTTGGGTATTTCTTTATAGCACTGTGAAAACAGACTAATACATACAGAAATAAGGGGATCGGCTCCCCACCGTCTGGTAAGTGAGGAGCGCCTCTGCCCGGCTGCCAAACTGGGAAGTGCGGAGCGCCTCTGCTCGGCTGCCCACCATCTGGGAGGTGAGGAGCGCCTCTGCCCGGCCGCTGTGCAACCTTCTAAGTGTGAAGAGACAGCCTTGTGTGTGATCTTTTCTGTCTTCCCCAAGTTTGCATTTTCGACATTAAAGTTTACTTTTTAGTTAAAAGTTAAAAAAAAAAAAAGAAATACAGGGATCATAATCAGAAATTCATAAAGGAGACTCACAAGCAATAAAATTAATGGGATATCTGGTGGAAAGGATATGCTTCCAACTACAGCCAATTGATGCCATGTAGAAACGGGGTCCTATGTTTCAGTTCTTCTTATCTTTGTATGTGGTACATACAAAGTATGTATGTGGGTATGTTTGACATTGTGTGCTACCTACTCCAAATCTGTTCTTTCTTTGTGAGTTAAAAAAAAATATTCTGGAAAGACAGCAAATACCTAACTCTGGTGATTATTTCTGATCTTCCTTTCAGCTAAGAATGTCTATGTGAATCAATTGTGGACCAAAAAAGTAAACCAGCTGTAGTGGGTTTCAGGACTATGACAATGCTTTTGTTCTCTTCATAAAAGATGACTAATGTGGTTAGCATCTTCTTTGTTCTTCTTCCTTACTTAAAGAATATGTGATATTTGGAGCTTCAATATCCATCTTGGGACATTGGAATCAATACTGTTGAGTAGCTAAACCAATAGCAACAATATTGTCACTATGAACATTTTCGTGGGAGAAAATTAACTCTTATTTGGGTAACTGATTACTAGTCAATTACTCTATAAATTGAAGGTAAACATATGGTAAATAAAGTAGTGGAAATGTAGATTACTTTGTAATTTACTTTAACATTTTCAGTGATGCTCATATTTTAATACTATTTTTGACACACTAAAGGCACCTGCAGACCAGATCCTGACCATGGGCAAGAAAACTGACTTCTACATATTGATTCGTTTTGGCAAATGAGCCAGAAGTTACCATTCTAAGTTAATGTGTTACATTCAAAGTACCTGTTTGTGAAGAACTAAATTTATTCTAAAGGAATTTTATTTGGAAGCTTTTGTCTTGATCAACCATACAATTTCTTTATAATTAATATTTTTCACATCTATAGAAACATGTTCTTCAAGTTTTCCCCTTGCCCTTGATGTTGTCCATGCTGCCCCCTTTTTCTCTATCTCTTTTATGCTTATTTTCTCTGTGTCCTGTATGAAATTGAGGTTCAGATCTTATTTTAATCAGATTGTGACTTCCCAATAGAAAAGTGCCCAGGTGCTCCCCATCTGCAACTCTGGAGACAGCAGAGATACACCTAGAGGACAGCAGAGTCATACTAGGCAGAAGCAGGTTGCAGAAGCAAAAGCAACAACCAGTCCTATATGCAGAATATCCTGAAGGGATATTCTGAAGGATTTTTAAGAAATATCCTGAAGGCTTTTTAAGAAAGGACGGTTGATAAGACAATGTATTAAGGTGGAACATAAGTGCACATTTAAGAATAGTGATAGTAACTGGGCCAAGAAAAAGAAAATGCCATCACAATAAAAAAAGGATGTGGTAAAATAAGACTTTGGGACACTGAGAAGAATCCAAAGATGTTACATGATGCACAAATAAAAAAGGAGTCAGGAATAGAAGTAAAACTAATTTCTAATTCAAACTGGCACATGAAATTTCATATCATTAAGACACTTAAAATTTTAACTCTAGATATGTTATTCTGCACAGTACACTGTATATTTATCATTTAGTTAGGTCTATAATAAAACGCATATAGTTTTCATTTATTAATATGAGTTCAATACTTGTCTGTATAATTGTTTCATGAATCCATGTTGAAAAACATATATCTCAAATTTAAAATATAAATGCATGAATTGACAAAACTTACTGTATGTTTATAAACCACATTTGGAACATAAATAGGGAGAGATAGGCAAATAACATTCTTGCCAAAATACTACATTCACAATGTTTATCTCTTTTGAGTGTTCTACTAGTAAAATAATTCTTGATTATCTTAATTATATTTACATTTATTATATATAATTTGGTTTCTGTTGCTAATAAATAAGCCTTTTTAAAATTTCTACACATTGCTCTGTCTCTTAAATTGCATGTTATCCATTCTGGTTTGTTTTTGATATTGTTAGTATTACTTTTAATTGACAATAAAATTTTTGGATGTTATTTGCTAATTATACTGAACATATTACAGTATATAATTTTGTAGAAACTATAAATTTGTGGATGGTTTTCTCAACATAGATAAATTTTTATTTCCTTTTTGAACATTGGTTGGGTCATTTTAGTTACACTTTGATGTTGGATAACAAAGTGAGTTGTGTTACTCTACAAGACTTATTTTGGTAGTTTCTCAAGCATAATGACATTTAATAGAAAATCTCTTTAATATGCCTGTTCTAAGCGGATAAGTACAGAAACCGTTCCCATGCCTTTACACTTGGCAATGTTTTCCTACTTGTTCATGATACACCATCACAGCTGAAAGCCAGACTGAACATTGTTCCCTTCTTTGTGCTTTGTCAAGCTACAAAAACAAACATATTTAGTATTTGTCCTCTACAGTTCTACTCTGCCCCCTGGAAATTATGCATACCCAGAGTGTAATCAAGAGGTATATTTTCTCTAATTCCAGAAAACTTTCATTTACATAAACATTTGAAATTGAATTAAAATATCTAAAAGAGCAATTCATTATATTTCCTGCTTATTCTTTATCAATATTCTATTGGCCTTAAGGCCTTTCTTTTAGAGGCTTTCTGTTTCTGGGGCTGAATTTGCAACACATTGCCAGCTGCCTTCTTCTATGAATCTGGCAGTTGAAAACATTTGAGTTTGGGGAAGAGAAAAATCTTCGCTTCTCTAGTCTAAGTCAGTATTATACCAGTTGTAGAGCCCAGATTTCAGCTTCCTTTATCGTTGCTAGCCACAGCCATTCCATGTATTTACACCAGCCAACCACATTGTTTTGTAGTTCTAAGTACCAGAACTTAGGTCTAAGCACCAATAGTGCTGTGATTTTCCAGAGGTCTGAGCCCTAGCTATGTGGTATGTCCCTCAGACATCTGATCACATAGCATAATGATCAGTTCCTGTAATCAATCATGCTATGGTCTGAATGTTTGTGTCCCCTCATAATTCATATGTTGAAACCTAATCCCTAATGTGATGCTATTAGGAAGTGGGGGCTTTGGGAGGTGATTAGATCATGAGAGTAGAGAACCTTCATGAGTGGGATTAGTGCACTTATAAAAGAGGCCTGAAGAGCTGCCTTGGCAATTCTGCCAAGTGAGGAGGCAGCAGCATGACAACTTCCGGTGTCCTTCACCAAACACCAAATCTGCCAGCACCTTAATCTTTCACTTCCCAGCCACCAGAATCGTGAGAAATCAATTTCTATCTTTTACAAGCTGTCCAGTTTATCATATTTGTTATAGCAGCCCAAATCAATGAAGACAGGGCCCATATTACTGTAAACCACATTTTTATATTCCCCTCAGCCTAGATATGGGAACTGCTTCCTGCAAGCAATATCTGTGTTATCTCAGCATCACCTATTTTTACTTCCAGTTTTGTTACATGTATAACTAATTCCCTGTTTGAAATTCTTTTTGTTTAAATAGTTAGTGTGGGTTCAATAGTCTTCAATGGACCCTGACTGCTAAAGTACTTGGTAGAGGGAACAGGTTTTATTCCTCACTCTCTAACACACTAAAGGGTCTCAGGTAATTGCAACATTTGCACATTAGATCCAATTAATATGATGTCAGAAATGTAATGGGTCAGTTATTCCATGGGATGCCAAGATGATCAAGATCTAGACTGACTAAAATGTGGTAGAAGGCAGAACAGTTGGCACGACCCTGAGGCAAAACTATGAAGATACACATTTGTTGCTGCAAGGTGAGAACAAACATGTTGCTGGCACTGCACTGCCAATTGGTCTAAAATAAGGATATGCAAACCAGAGCAACCAGACAGACCACATTCAGCCCACTGTCTTTTTGCTTGTGTGTTTGCTTTTAAATTTTACTGGAATCCTGTCATATTCATTTCTTTACATACTGCCTATGGCTAATTTTATTAATGGTGGAGAGCGTCCAGTTCTTGGCGCCTTGAACAAAGAACTGGACAAAACTTACAGACAAAGCAAGGAAGGGACTAAGGGATTTATTGAAAATAAAGTACACTCCACAGTGTGAGAGCAGGCAGAGCATAGGGGCTCTAAGGCCCCATTACAGAATTTTTTTGAGTCTTTAAATACCCCCTAGAGGATTCCATTGGTTACTTCAGGTACACCCTGTGTAAATGGAGAGACTGAAGTAAAGTTACAAAGTCATTTACGGCCCATGACCTATGGAGAGGATATTTCCTGTTATAGCTGAAGTGTAAACTGGCTTTATGTTCCCACCCTCCGGACTCTATTTTCCTGCCACAATTTTGTGCTATACAAAAGCTAAGTATTTGTGTTAGAGATGAAATGGCCTAGAAAGCTTAAAATATTTACTAGATGTCCCTTTACAGAAAAACAAAAACAACAGCAACAAAATAAAACATCTCTGACCCCTTGTGTTAGTTTTCCATAGAACTCCGAGATTAAGGTGTGTTGGTAGGGCCGTGCTCCCCTTGAAAGCACTAGGGGCTTCTAATAGTTCCTTGGTTCATGGCAGCATATCTCCAGTCTTCACATGGTGTTCTCCCTGTGTGTGTATCTGTGTCCAAATTTCCCCTTTTATAAAGGATTTCAATTATATTCCGCCAAACCCCTGTGTGAGCTCATGTTAACAAATTACATCTTCAATGATCTCATTTACAAAGATCACATTCTGAGGTATTGTGGGTTAGTACTTCAACACAGGAATTTCAGGGGAACACATTTCATCCCATGGCACTCCTCGTATAGAAAAAACCATCTGCTAAATCAATAACCAAATGTCATGTGTCAGAGAATATAAGGACTTGTTTCCTTAATTTACCACAGCTGGAAAAGCAGCTGCAATTTATGTCTTCCCCAATTAAGTTTATGTTAATTCACAATAACTTCTCAAGATCTTTTCACGTATAGCATGGACAAAGGAGTTATTTATATAACATTGTGATAGGAACTACTAGCTCTGCATCTTTGAAGTCTTTTATAGTGACGCTAATCTCTGCAGTACTCACAGGGAAGTAGCATTGCTCTTGGATTACAAACAAATAGGGAGAAACATTTTCATAGACTTCCATGTGGTTATTCTTACGATAATAATTCACCTCGCCAGTTAGAGAACTGAATGTGGGTATTCTGTCAGTTACTGAATATAATTATATTAGAAACTAAGTCCACACTATAAGATATTTATGTAGATAAACTTGGTTGAAGAAGAACTTGAATCAAGACTACTTATTTGGACTGACTCTCATAATCCCCAGTTTGACCAGTGACCCTTAATGCCATTTTTGGTTACTGATGCTTTCATGGCCCAATAATGAGATGCAGATGAACTGGAGAGGAAGAGAGTTTTTATTTCTGTAATCGGTTGGTTACACATAAAAGACCTGGAAAATATCACCAGACCAACTCAAAATTACAAAGTCTTCCAGAGTTTATCTACCTTCTAAGCTATATGTCTATGTGTAAGTGTGCATTCATCTAAAGACATAAGTGATTAACTTCTTTTAATCTGTAACTAAGATCTGAGTCCTCAAGACCGTCCTCTGGAGCCTCAGTAAATTTACTTAATCTAAATGGGTCCAGGTGCTGAGGTGATTACCTTTATCTTGTCTCCTGCTAAATCAGGGAGGTTTGGGGAATTCCTCCACTTGTTTGTGGAGGCCTGGGGATTTTCTTCAGATCCCTAATAAAAGTTGTTTAATCCCAAATGGGTCCTGTTAAGAATTCCTTTGTTATTTTGTCATGTTTTAAGGCCCAGGAAATGCCTAGGCAAAACTCTTGGTGGGCTTTTGTTACATTCCAGGCTTTGTATAAGAACACTGGCTCTTTCAGTCTTTAATATTTCACTTAACCGCTCAGTACTGAAACAGTTGTTATGGAAGCCTGCGTTAGTGAGACCTGGCCTGCCACAAAACCAGAATCAATAACAGGAAATCTACCAAATTTTCCCTTTCCGTGATGCACAGTGAACATAGAAAAGACTGAAAGTCTTTTTAGAGAAGACTGGAGGAAGATCTATAATTTATATTTTTGAAGGGACTCTGACAATTGCTTCCATAAATAAGGTTTCTGTCCACCAAATCCAGAGTTTGTGTCACAAACATCAAGTAATACTTTAATTGAATGCCATTCTACTCAAACTGAGGATTCTGTTACTAATTAGCATCTGTCAAAGATCCATGGGAGTCACAGAATTCCTGTTATGTCTTTGTTTATTCCTGTTATGCTGTTTATTATAGAACGTATTCCCCTTCTTTCTGCTTTAACATGTAAATATTTGGTTGGGCTTGCGCCCTTCTGGGACCCT
The DNA here is from genome assembly GCF_000001405.40 of Homo sapiens. Classification (NCBI taxonomy): domain Eukaryota; kingdom Metazoa; phylum Chordata; class Mammalia; order Primates; family Hominidae; genus Homo; species Homo sapiens. The sequence goes on along the minus strand of NC_000013.11, from coordinate 81,140,289 downwards.
TCATCATCACTGTAAAAAGAAAGCCCATCTCAGTGAATGATTCATTTCCACCATCTTCCCCAGCCTACGGAGGACTGCTGCCACAGTGCATTTTAATGATGTGTCTCTCTCCATTCTGGTCATGTATTATCACTGCCTTAGGGAAGGGGATATCCTCTCAGGCCTCTTATACTATATAATGGGGAAGCAGATGGCATATGATACATCCATTCCAACATTCCTATTTTCCTAAGCTTTTGAATTTTTTCCCTCTACATTATGTTAGAGAATTTCTGATATTTCGGCCTCACTGAATGTTGGCAACCGCTAAGCCCAGATTTCAGTCAGCAAAGCTAACAAAATATTAGAGCAGATTTAACATATTAAATGAAGAGTCTCTGAGAAGTGCGGCTATATCAACACATTTGGCCCTGTGCAATGATACATTCTGTACTCTTTCAAACCACATCCTTAAAATTGATTCCCACACATATTCTGCAGGCTGGAATAATATAAATCAACAAAATCTGAGCCCTTTTGTTCTAGTAACACCATCTCTTTCTTTTATTCTAGTAACATCATCCATCCCTTTATTGTTTCCTCAGCTATATAAATGGTAGCTGCTTCCTACAGTTATTATTCTTTGAATTATTTCATCACCCTTTACTTGCTATTTTAGATTTTTCAATATCATCTGCATAACTCTCTTATGTATTAAATTCCCTCTCTTTAACATACTTGCTGTTTATGTTTACTGTCAAGACACAGACTAATTGAGTTACAGAAGAATGGATTCAGATAGAAAACATTGAAATGAAAATATTTTGGAATATGCTAAAATAGTTTTGATCTTAGTGATATTGTTTTTAATTTTTACCTCTGAATTCTGTTTGATAAGCAAATTAACTCAGCAATAGTTACCTATGGAAATGAAAATTGGTATCATGTAATTCAACTTTCCATCAAGTTTAGAAAGTTTCATACAATTCTAATTGAAAAAGTTTATTTTTCATTGTTAAAAGATTTTTTAAAATATTAGAAGCTTTTAAAAATTCTCAAATTCCACTTATTTATATTTCTTTGAAATTTCTAATCTCCACTTTTTAATCTATCCTTTGGATTTGAATAGATAAATGGTAACTAAATGACAGATACTTCTTTAAATGCTTGAACACAGCTATAGTCTAAGACCTTAATTCACTCCCATTCATAGCTCTCAATATTTTAGTGTCCCTTAATGAAAACTCTAAAAAAATTCAATCCACTTAATTGAAAATGAATGTGTGTTATATAATGCTAGAAGTTTCTGATAACCACCCCTCCACCTGCTGAGAAATATTTATTCCATTATCATCTCTCTTTCGGGTGATGAAAATGTTCTGAAACTAGACAATGTGATGGTTGTGCAATATTGTGAATGTACCAATGTCAGGAGCTCAGCTGGGGGTGAGAGAGAATAGAGACAAGACTCGCCGCCACCACCTCGCACTCCACTGAGGGCATCTACTACAGTTGGTGGGGAGCAGGGGCCCCGTGGCCAGCAGGGTCCCCAGTCAGACCATCTGAAGCCACACCTTAAATCTTGCCTAAGGTGACATACCCACTGATTGCTAGACTTTGAGGAAGCTAAAATAAACAGCTTCCACCATAAAACTTACTTAAGGGAGTTAACCCTATCTTCCCCATATGTACAAGACCAGAATGATCAACCTTTACCTTAGCTTCCTTATACTACCAACGATCATGCCTAGGGGTGGAGATTTCACATGCAATGCACGAAGAAGCATGTCACCAAAGTGGGCAGGTACCAGTCACTCCCTGCCTCTGTATGCTTAAACGTCACTCCTTTCTTGCTTTAACCTCTTTAAAATTACTGTCCTCACTCTCTATGGGGAGCCAGCCAGAGAATTCTCTCTCTTTTATGCTGCCTCCATTTTGCCCAGGCATCAACCCCAATAAAGCCTTGTTGGGAAAAACTCTTTTTGCCTCACATTTATTTCTACTACATTGAGGGCCTGAGAACCTGTGGTCAGTACCTGAAAGACCTGACATGTCATGTGTCAAAGTTGTCCATTTAGATAAGTCAAAATGAAATTAACAGCTAGGCCTGTTAATCCTTTCCTGAAATAGTGCAAGAAAGAGGCTAACCCAGGGAAAGTTCCAGCTCCCACACTGTTCCATTTTTCCACATGTAACGGTGTCATAAAAGGGTTAGGTGGATCAGCACGGGCTTGGGGGTCATTTCACTGCCAAGGGAATTTAAACAAAAGGCCCCAGCTGCTTTATGGACTAGAGGCCAGAGGAAGTGGGAGGGGGAAGGGCTAAGAACGATAAAGTGCTGTGTCCCCAGTCAGAGTGGGGAACACTGTCTTCAAATCTCCCGCACCCCATAGTGAGATCTTAGTAGAGACATCTGAGAAAGGCTTTTGTCCAATAAAGACCTTAAAGAGGCCTCTGAATGGTGGCACCTGGGCTAGAATTGCAGCTATGCCTGAGTACATGGCTGGCCTGGGGAGCCTCAGTCCTCGAGTACAGTTTTCTTCAGAGACTGCAGCGTGTTTGTTGTGCATGCACCAAGTCTGATGTGGAGAAGGCAGCCTTTCTCCTTGAGGCCTGCCAGGTAAACCTTTGTAGTTGCCTGTACTTGTGCCTAAAAAAATCACAGGTAGGGGTTTAGCCAGGAGTAAGGTACTTCGCTAACTGCCACTGAATTGTGCACTTTAAATAGCACATTTTCTGATGTGTGCATTTTACCACAATCAAAAAAGCTTTAAAACATGGACTGCATTGATAATTTTTTTTTAAATACGGAGTTAGGTATAGAAAGGCAAGATGCCCTTCTTTCCCTTGATAATGCTGTTTTATAATAATAGAGAATTATAATACACTTGTATCATAACATATTTTTTCTGCATTATAATACAGAATTATCTAGATTTTCTGTAATCTAAGGTATTATATCTTATTTCGTGGTTATTTATTTATTTTTATTTTATTTTATTTTATTTTGAGATGGAGTTTTGCTCTCATTGCCCAGGCTGGAGTGCGATGGCATGATCTCGGCTCACTGCAACCTCTGCCTCCCAGGTTCAAGCTATTCTCCTGCCTCAGCCTCCCGAGCAGCTGGGATTAGAGGCATGTGCCACCACGCCCGGCTGATTTTGTATTTTTAGTACAGATGGGGTTTCTCCACGTTGGTCAGGCTGGTCTCAAACTCCCGACCTCAAGTGATCTGCTTGCCTCGGCCTCCCAAAGTGCTGGGATTACAGGCATGAGCCGTATAAAATACATTTCCTTTGATTAATCATGACGTTATCAGTGATCCAAATTGAGTACAAAGTTAACAGTTCTGTTTGCTCATTTTACTTGTTATCAACAAAGCCACTATTGGCATTTTGGTTACATGATTCATCTTTGCTGTGAAGACATTTTCTGGGTCATAGAAAACAGTTTGCTTTCTTGACCTCTGGGGTTGAAATTCTATTCCCTCTTTGCAGTCATTATTATAAACTCGAAAATTCACACATTTCCAAAAAATTCCTTTCACCCCTCATCCCCAGAGGAGGGGGAGGTATTGCCTTCTTTCACTTGAGTAGCATTTATCTGCTAAAAGAAATCAGGAAGTAAATTCAATGTTTTGATATGATTTTATAAAAGTATAGCCATTTGACAGAATGCTTTTATTATAGCTATTTATTTTCTTGACACAATTTTTTAATAGTATAAGGAAAATATCACCTCTCTGACTAGTTTGCTTACTAACAATGCTCATGTTATTAACATGTAGACTTGTGTTGAGTCATTTGCATTTTTGACAAATAGCATTACTACATTTAAATTTGTTTAAAAATAATTCTAAATTAAAATAAAATTAATCATAGCTTTTTAAAATATGAAAAAGTTTTACACTTATCTACCTGATTTTAAAGATGACTGGTTTTAAATGGGGATTTATCTAATATTGTGTTACATCTATTAAATCCAACCTATGCCTTTCAAATAAATGTTATATTTGTATGTATATTGTATACATTGTGTAAATTCATTTGAATATTGAAACTACTCTCCATGTTTCTATATCGGTCTTGTTTGTGTATATCCCCAAAGTATTTTTAACTAATACTTATACTTCCTTGTGAGAACCACTCTGTGTCTACATCATTTTTATTTTTCTATATTAAAACTACATTTTATACTCCATTGTATTTTATGGACCTGTTTCGTCTCAGCATTTTTTTTCTTTCTCCTCATATTTTACCTTAAGTTCTTTTTAAACAGTAGAGTTTATATTGCCAATCGATAACTTAAGGTTTTCATAAAAGACACTCTTTTAATAACCAGGGGCTCATTGCTCTGGTATCATACAACATTCCACAAAAAAAAAAAAAAAAAACACACACACACACAAAAATCCACTCACTGAGGCAGTGTAACTAGTCATTTCCTATATTATCCTTTATTTTTCAAAGTCATCACCATAAGTTTCTGACAGTACTTTAAAACTGTTTTAAAAGTTCAATTAGAAGAAAAAATTTACAAAACATAATATTAATATATATAAATAGACTTTGAATATTTTGTTGTTTTACTGCTTTTAGAAAACAATCACATTATATAAATACATCATTACATATCTATTATATTATAAAGTTTTGTAAAAATGTGTTTATTAGTGTGGGATATACTAGGAACATGCATAACATATCTCATTTTCTTTCAATATCTTAATAATATTTAATATTTTTTTGAAAAAAAAACTGTATAACTTTCCCTAAATATGGAATGCAGCTGCCCGAAATGACTACATCTTCAGTATTTTTTTTTATATCCAAAGGAGAAAATTCATCTAGTATCTATTTGGTTCTTGTTTAAAAGCTTATGACTACATAATTGTCAAGATTTTCTTTATTTGATATTGTCTTTGTCTTATAAGAGTAATATAGGAAGTGTATCATACATGAAATGTGTTTAAGATTCAGGTTAGTTTTCCTCTTCTTAAAAACATAAAAACATAAGAAGATTTCTTACATTTAGGAAAGAAATAGCTAATTGTATACCATATGTAAGTTTAATCAATACTTAATATTATATAATAAAGTGCATTGGCAAAACCTAGACAAATAATAATAATTTATACTTAGAATATGGATGCCGCTTTTTTTTTCAAGAGATGGGGAACTCCCTCTGTTTCCCAGGCTGCAGTGTAGTGGCAGGATCATAGCTCACTGCAGCCTGGAACTACTGGACTCAAGGGATGCTCCCATCTAGACAGCGTGAATAGCTAGGATTATAGGTATAAGCCACAGTGCCTGGCTATGGCTCTTTTTAAATTAATGATTTTTCTACAAGTTATATGTCTATGGAATACAATTTACCATTTTCTTAGCTGAAATGTAAGCATGTAATATTGAGAAGAGCCTGAATAGCATTTATTATACATAATAAAAAATATAACAAATTACATACAGTAGATGTTAGCAATGCTATAGATCTTTTACTTTTTCTCTCTAGTTTTGGTAATATAATTATTATTCAAAAAGACCACAAAGCTAATGCAAGATGGTAACAATTTTTTCTTCTGAGCAAAGACATGCCCAGCCTAGCTTCATTTCTTCTGACTCTTAATAAAACTTCCCGAGATAACCACTTATTGAACTGATTCCAAGAGGTTAGATGGCTCTCATGAAGAACTTTCTCCTTAGCTGAAGCAAGCTAATAATCCTAATTTAGGTGTGCTCTTGCTGCTCTTTGACTGGTGGCCTTCCACAGGATGTTCAGTGATACAGAACTTGAGTACTGGACTCTGACTTCATGTTTTTGAATACTGCACTCATTCACACTGAACCATGAGAAACAGAATTCCTTCTCCTTTTAAGCCACTACATTGTAGTTTTCTATTAGTAACGGTGGACGAATCTAACTTAGTTGTGTGCATGTGTATTTCAAATATATACATATATTTTAAAAAGCCAGTGTGACAGCAACTTGTTACGCCACAGAATTTCTAAAAAGAAAAAAAAGTAAAATAAATTACTTCAAAGTCTTTCTAATTCCTGATAACCTAACATTTCAGTGTCAAAACAAAATGACATAGAAACAGCAAAGTTGAAAAAAATTTTAGAAAGGAAAATGTTCTTATTTTGGAAAATGTGTGATATAGAAAAATATAAAGAAAAGGATCACCTAAAGACAAATAATTTTAAATATTGTTATTTATTAACATCCACTTTTTCTCAGCATATTTTACACAAATAAGGTTATATTACTATACAATTTTTAATTTTGTTTTCTTATAAGTATCATTTATTTTGAGTCATTTATTATATTTTGGTAGATATTACATAAGCATCTTTTTTGGTATTTCATAATGTAGTTTACACAGATTTGGCATAATCTATTTTGCAGTTCCTTCACTGTATCTTTTGATTATTTCTAATTCTTCATTATAAGTAAGCATACAAAAATTTTGCAAATAATTTTTAATATAAAGTTTCTCAAGATGGAGGCTCAAGTGGTAAAATTGTTGAATATGCACATGTTATAGCTATTGTTGTATCCTACCAAACTACTTTTCAAAATTGTTGCATCAATGTATATATGAAGTTGTATGTGATAGCACCTATTTTACCATACTTTAGATTTGTATTGTTTTTCAGTGTTTAAAAATACAATCAAATACTTAAAGACAGTTACTCTATATTTTTATTCACTTCCATATACTCTCATCCCCCATATAATAACAAATTCTTGAGCGAATATAAAATTATTCTTATTTTGTTTTTATTTACTTCATTATCAGTAAATGTGTAGTTTAGCTAAATTTGTATGTCATTGGTATTTAACGTTTTCTTGAAACATATACTGGTTTTTGCTCATTTAGATTGCAATATAAAGATAAAAACACTTTCCTCTTGCCAGACAAGGGGACATGTAACAGTGAAGAAATCCACTGACCAGATTGCTAGGAAAAATGTTAAAGGGCTTGTATATGCTAAAAAGAAAGGAAGTGACTCATTAAGAATAAAAAGAAAATATTCTAACCACATAAGAATGAGTCCATAGGCCTGTATCCACCTGGTTAAAACAAGTACCATTGTTGATTGGTCAAGATTGTGTCTACGGTTAGGTCCAGAAAGAGTTTGGCACACTGAGGTCACAAGAATTCATGGTTCTTTATCTGTTATGTCTGGTAAGAACCAGTTGTGGTAAAATAAATGCTCTAGTTTGGAATCTTTTAAGCTAGTGCTAATGTAATTGGAAGAGTTCTTCTATACAAAATAGAGACTTAGCTTTTTTTTTTGAAATTGACTTGCGATAGCTATACATTAACTAAAGATCTTAATCTCCTATTTATTCATTAAACTTTATTGAAAGACTTTGTTTTTTGTTTCTATTGATATAGAAAAATTTTGTCTGTGTGTTTGTGTGTGTATTTCATTTTATGAGAAGGCAAAGCTATTTGTATCCTCCTATAATTTAAGTCTACTTCTTAAAGGCTGTCAATGAAGTTCTTTCCCACTCACAAATTAAAAGAGACTAAAATCTCAGAGTTCAACCCTGTATTAGACCATTTTCATGCTGCTGATAAAGACATACCTGAGACTGGGCAATTTACAAAAGAAAGAGGTGTAATGGACTTGCAGTTGCATGTGGTTGGGGAGGCTTCACAATCATGGTGGAAGGTGAAAGTCATGTCTCACATGGCTGCAGACAGAGAAGAGAGCTTGTGCAGGGAAACTACAGTTTATAAACCATCAGAACTCCTGAGAATCATTCACTATCATGATTACAGCACAGGAAAGACCCACCACCATAATTCAATTATCTCCCATCGGGTGCCTCCCACAACACTTGGGGATTATGGGAGTACAATTCAAGATGAGATTTGGGTGGGGACACAGCTAAACCATATCATTCTGCTCATGGCTCCTGACAAATCTCATGTCTGCAGATTTCAAAACCAATCATGCCTTCTCAATAGTCCCCCAAAGTCTTAACTCATTGCAGCATTAACTCAAAAGTCCACAATCCAAAGTCTCATCTGGGACAAGGTAAGTCCCTTCCAACTATGGGCCTGTAAAATCAAAAGAAAGTCAGTTACTTTCTAGATACACTGGGGATACAGGCAGTGGATAAACACAACCATTCCAAATGGGAGAAACTGGCCATAACAAAGGGGCTACACAGGCCCCATGCAAGTCCAAAATCTAGTGCAGCAGTCAAATCTTAAAGCTCCAAAATGATCTCCTTTGACTCCATGTTTCACCACCAGGTCAAGCTGATGCAAGAGATAGGTTCCCATGGTCTTGGGCAGCTCTGCCCCTGTGGCTTTGAAAGGTACTGCCTCCCTCCCAGCTGCTTTCATGGGCTGGTGTTGAGTGTCTGCAGCTTTTCCAGATGTGCAGTTCAAGCTGTCAGTAGATCTATCATTCTAGGGTCTGGAGGAGGGTGGCCCTCTTCTCAGAGCTTCACTAGGTGGTGCCCCAGAAGGGACTCTGTGTGGGGGCACCAACCCCACATTTTCCTTCTGCACTGCCCTAGCAGAGTTTCTACGTGCGGGCCCCACCCCTGCAGCAAACTTCTGCCTGAGCATCCAGTTGGTTCCATACATCTTCTGAAATCTAGGCAGAAGTTCCCAAACTGCAATTCCTGACTTCTATGCACTCTCAGGCTCAACACCATGTGGAAGCTGCCAAGGCTTGGGGCTTGCACTCTCTGAAGCCACATCCAAAGCTCTACATTCGTCCCTTTTAGCCACATCTGGAGTGGCTGGGAGGCAGGGAACCAAGCCACTAGGCTGCATACAGCATGGGGATCCTGGGCCTGGCCCACAAAACCATTATTTCTTCCTATGCCTCTGGGCCTGTGATGAGACAGACTGATGTTAAGACCTCTGACATATCTTCCCTGGAGATATTTTCTGATTGTCTGGGGGATTAACATTCAGCTCCTCATTACATATGTAAACTTCTTCAGCTAGCTTGAATTTCTCCCCAGAAAATGGGATTTTCTTTTCTATCAAATTATCAGGCTGCAAATTTTCTGAATTTTTGTGCTCTGCTTCCCATATAAAACTGAATGCCTTTAGCAGCAACCAAGTCGCCCCTTGAATGCTTTGCCTCTTAGAAATTTCTTCTGCCAGATACCCTAAATCATCTCTCTCAAGTTCAAAGTTCCAAAAATCCCTAGGGCAGGTGCAAAATGCCACCAGTCTTTTTGCTCAAACATAACAAGTGTCACCTTTGCTCCTGTTCCCAACAAGTTCCTCATCTCCATCTGAGACCACCTCAGCCTGGATTTCACTGTCCATATCATTATCAGCATTTTAGCCAAACCCATTCAACAAGTCTCTAGGGAGTTCCAAACTTTCTCACATCTTTCTGTCTTCTTCTGTGTTCTCCAGACTGTTCCAATCCCTGCCTGTTACCCAGTTCCAAAGTCACTTACACATTTGTAGGTATCTTTAGAGTAGCACCTCACTCTACTGGTACCAATTTACTGTTTTAGCCCATTTTCATGCTGCTGATAAAGACATACATGAGACTGGGCAATTTACAAAATAAAGAGGTTGAATGGACTCACAGTTCCACATGGCTGGGGAGGCCTCACACTCATGGTGGAAGATGAAAGGCACGATTCACATGGCAGTAGACAAGAGAAGAGAGCTTGTGCCAGTAAATTCCCCTTTATAAAACCATCAGATCTTGTGAGACTCATTCACTATCATGAGAACAGCATGGGAAAAACCCCCATAATTCAATTATCTCCCACTTGGTCCCGCCTACAACATGTGGGAATTATTGTAGTACAATTCAAGATGAGATTTGGGTGCAGACACAGAGCCAAACCATATCAAATCCCAAAAAAACTCTGTTGCTTATCAGGATTGAGGTGGACACACACATACACATATATACATAATTGTTTGAATTGGGCAAGATTGAAATGAGGGTGGCAAAGACTGACCTGGTTACTGGAAGAATAACTTTTTCCAATAATGGGGAGAGTGCTAAATTGGATTTGTTTGTGTATCCAACTCCCATGACTATGAAATGTGAGTAGACAATTGGGATGAGGTTTTGATGAAAGTCAGGCCTTCCTTCAAATAACAGGCCTACTGGTTTATTCACCAGTAATATGGAGTTTTTTCATGAAAAAATTAAATGAAACTAATAAAGTATATAAAAATTATATGCAAGTTCTCAGAATAGTGCCTATATGTAATTGCTCACTTTAGTGTTGTACTTTTATCATTATTCTAGTTCAAAATTGATGCTTGACCAGATCTTGATTTTTTTTTTTTGCATTCAGTTCCCTTGAGTGTTTCAGTTAGTTGAAATTTCTCAGTCTCTGATATACAGGTCATTTACATCATTGATCTATATTGTCAGAAATTTTTGTATTCTTTAGTGACTTCTTAAAGCTTTATTTGCAAGTTTGGTTAGAGTACATGAGAGTTCATAAACTATCATCTTACCAGGAAGTTAAATTTTATTAATTTAGTTTTTATTATAAAGTTATACATGGAAATGTAAGAATTCTGAGACAGTGAAGAAGTTAAAAATTAAATGAATAATTCACACCTTCACCACTAGAAAGTAACCCTAAGAACAATTCAATTCATTTTTACCATTCTCTATTACAGATATAATTTATATAATGAAGTAACATGTAGTATTTTGTAAAATACTTTTTCCACTCAACTTTATGCTGAACATTTATTTTTGTTATGAAGAAAAGTTCAGGTTTCTATTAAATGTTAAGATGCTTTAATTTCTCAGGATGCTGAGATCACAATGGATCTAATGGATACATCAAAAAAGAAATAAGAAACTTCATTCTTCTTTCTGCTCTTGACTGTCCATCTTCCAGATCTTCTTTACCTTGTTTAATTTTTCCTTAAGGTTGATCAACTGCTAACACATGATATAATATACATACTATGTTTTCTGTTTATGGTTTATGTCTCTCTTTTAAAACATAAGCTTACATTGGAATATTTGATTTTTTCATTGATATATCTTGACTCACAGAAACAATGCTGACACTGAATAGACATTCAATGAACTTTGTTGAATAATTTAATGAATGGGTGATTTCAAACAATAGTAACCATACCATATTTCAGTTACTTAAGCAAGAAACTGGAAATCTATTGAGATGTTGGAATAGATGGGATACCAGCTAACTAAGTGTGGGAAAAGACAGACAGCAAGGCGGTTTCTGCAGGCAAGAGGGACAATGCAGAAAATACAGTATCTCAAAGTGAAGATAGTCTGCTTTGGACTCTGCAGCCACTAATCTTGTTGCCCTAAAGTTGCAATGGTTTATTTTCAGCCTCAAAGTAGCTCTTGCATTGTTGGCTAAAGAGTCAGAATTCTGTTAAAGATTGTTAGGTTGGTGTCTTAGTTTGTTTTGTGTTGCTGTATAAAAGTTATGTTGATAATTTTTATTTGAAGCTGGGTAATTTATAACTTATGATATTATACATATATACTATATATATTTACTAAGAAAAGAGGTTTATTTAGCTCACTGTTCTCCTGCCTAGAAGTTTCAAGATTTGGCATAGGTGTGGGCCTCAGGCTGTTTCCGCTCATGGTGGAAGGCAAAGCCATCCATCAAGTAAAGAGATTACATGGTGAAAGAGAGACTGGAAAGATGTGCTAAGCTATTTTTCTAAAATAGCTCTCACGGAAATCAACAGTAATAACTCACTCATACTCCCTGTTCCCCATCCCAGGGCTGGCATCAATCCGTTTATAAGAAATCCACTCCCACGACTCAAACACCTTCTATTAGGCCCTACTGCCAATGCTGGGGATCGAATTTCAACATGATGTTTGGGGGGCAAACATCCAGTTACTCAAATTGGATACACTCAATTCCATTGCCTAAAATCTGATTATATAAGTGGAAAGGAGAGGTAAAAACTTGATTTCCTTGGCTTCCAATGTAGAGGCAGTCACCACAAATTGCCCTTAAGGATAAAAATCTGCAGGAGTATGTTCATTCCACTAAAAAAAGTAACATGAAAAAGGGACCAAATCCTGGGAAAAGCAAAATAATATAAAATCCAAAGTAATATCTATATGTTCATTATAACTATTCACCATTGAAATATAAGATTTAAAAGCTGTTTTTGAATATACATTTTAAGAGACTTAATCTTTTCAACAGTAATTTCATTTCTTCCTTTCCAATTTGAATGCTTTTTTGCCTAATTGCTCTGGCAAGGACATGCAGCACTTGCTGAGTAAATGTGGCAAGAGTGGGCAACCTTGTCATCTTTCTCGTCTTAGATGAAGAGTGTTTATTTTTTCACTGTTGTGCATGATGTTACTGGTGGGCTTGTCATACATGACATTTATTATCTGGAGGTTAATTCTATATCTTGTTTGTTGAGTTTTTATTATGAAATAGTGCTAAATTTTGTCCATTGTTTTTTGTACATCAATTGAGATGATTACGTGATTTTTATGCTTCATTCTGTTAATGTGGTGTATCATATTAATTGGCTTGCATATGCTGAATAATCCTTACACCCCAGGAATAACTCCCACTTAGTTATGTTAGATGGTCTTTTTAATTTGATGTTAAATTTGTTTAGTTAGTGTTTTGTTGAGGGTTTTTGCATCTGTGTTTATCAGGGATATTGGCCTGTAGTTTTCTTTTCTTGCAGTGTCTATGGCTTTGGTATCAGGGTAATGCTGGGCACATAAAATAACTTTGGAAATATTCCCTCCTCTTCAATTTTTTGGAAGCATTAATTGACATTAATTTTTTCTTAAATATTTGGTAGAATTTACCAGTGATACCATCTGATTCTGGACTTTACATTGTTAGGACACTGTAATAAATGTAAATTAATCATATATGTATTGTTTCCAATTAAATATTTTTACTGATTGTGTGTTTGTTCAAATTTTCTATTTCTTCATGATTCCATCATTGTAGATTAAGTTTCAAGGAATGAATCTATGTCTCCTAGGTTTCTCAATTTGTTGGTGTATAATCATTCACAGTAGTTTCTATAATACTTTTTATTTATGTACATTAGTTTTAAAGTCTACTCTTTTATTTCTAAGTATATTTATTTAAGCATTTTCTTCATAGTATAGTTAATGTTTGTTAATTTTGTTTATCATTTTAAAAAACCAACCTTAGTTTTGTCAATTTTTAAAATTGTTTTTCTACCCTCTATTTTTTTTCTGCTCCAATCTTTATTATTTCCTTTCTTCTGCTAACTTTGGGCTGAATTGGTTTTTCTTTTGCTAGTTTCTTGGGGTATAAAAGTAGATTTGAAAATGACATGACATTACATGTAGAAATTCCTAAAGACTCCACAAGAAAATTCTTAGAATTAGTAAGCCAATTCAGTAAAGCTGTAGAATAAATTATCAACATATATCTGGCATTTGAATAAATACCCAGTAGGAATAAGAAGTACCCAGTAGTATTACAGCTCATGTCTATAATCTCAGAGCTTTGGGAGGCCAGGGTAGAAGTATTGCTCGAAGCCAGGGGTTCAAAACCAACTGGGGCAACATAATGGGACCCAGTTTCTACTAAAAATAAAAATAAAAATAAATCAACTGGGTGCAGTGGCGCATACCTATAATCCCAGCTTCTTGGGAGGCTGAGGCTGGAAGATTGCTTCAGCTCAGGAGTTCGAGGCTGGAGTGTGCTAGGATCATGCCACTCCACTCCAACTTGGATGTCAGACAGACACCTTGTATCAAAAAAGAAAAATTATCAACATAAATCACAACTTAAAAAAATATTGTTAAAATTATCATACTTCTCAAAGTGATCTCCAGTTGTAATGTAATTCCTATCACTATAACAATGACATATTTACAGAAATAGAAAAAATATCCTAAAATTTTTATTGAACCACAAAATAACCCAAATAGCCAAAGCAATCCTGAGCAAAAGGTGAAGGCATTGCATTACCTGACTTCAAATTATACTATAAATCTATAGTAACCAAAATGGGACAGTACTGACATAATAACAGACACATGTAACAATGCAACAGAATAGAAAATCCCAAAGTAAATCCAGATATTTATAGTCAACTCATTTTTAATAAAGTTCCCAAGAATATAAATTGGGAAAATGATAGCCTCTTCAATAAATGATGCTGGAAAAACTAGGTATATGTAGGCAGAAAAATGAAACCAGAACCCCTTCTAGTACCATATACAAAAATCGAATCACAATGGATTAAAGACTTAAATCTAAGACCTGACACTATGATACTACTAGAAGAAAACTCTGGGGAAACTCTCCAGGACATTTTGTCTGTGCAAATATTTATTGAGTAAGATCACAAAAGAAAGCATAGGCAACCAAAGCAAAAATGGATAAGTGGGATCACATCAAGGTAAAAAGCTTCTACACACCAAAGGAAACAACTGAAAAAGTGAAGAGATAACCTACGGAATGGGAGGAAATATTTGCAAACTATTTATTCAACAGGGATTTTAATACCCTGACTAGACGAGGAACTCAACAGAAAAAAAAAATGGGATTAAAAAATGGGCAAAGGCTCTAAATAGACATTTCTCTAAAGAAGGTACAAAATGGCGAAATATATGAAAAAAATGCTCAGCACCACTAATCATCAGAGAAATGCAGATCAAAAGAACAGTGAGACATCATTTCACTGCAGTTAGAATGGCTTTCATCAAAAACAAAACAAAACAAAATCAAACAAAAAGAAGTGCTGGCGAGTATGCAGAGAAAAAGGGAATTCTTATTTATGGTCAGTATGAAGGTTAAATTGGTACTGCCATTATGGAAAACAGTTTAGAAGTTTATCAAAGAACCTAAAATAGAACTATGATATGATCCAGCAATCTCACTACTGGGTATTTATTCAAAGGGAAGAAAGTCAGTATATCAAAAGATACCTGCACCCCCATAATTATTGCAGCACTATTCATGATAGCCAGGATATTAACCTAAATATTCATCACTAGATGAATGGATTTTTAAAATGTGGCATATATACACAATGGCATACTATCCAGCCATAAAAATAATGCAATTCTGTCATTCACAGCAACATAGATGAAACTGGAGGACATTATGTTAACTGAAATAAGTCAAGCACAGAAACATAAATAGCAGAATGTCTCACCCATATGTGGGAGCTAAAAAAATTGAGCTCATAAAAGTAGATAATAGTATTGTAATTGTTAGAGTCTGGGAAGGAAAGAGGGGTGGGGGAATAGGGAGAGGTTGGTTAACGCATAGGAGGAATAAGTTTTAGTATTCTATAGCACTGTTAGGTGACTACAATTGACAATAATTTATGGTATATTTTCAAATAGCTAGAAGAGAGGGTTTTTAATGTTCCCAACAATAATAAATAATATAAATATTTGTGATGATGGATATGCCAATTACTCTGATTTGATCATTACACATTATATACTTGTATGAAAATATAATTATTACATGTCAATTAAAAATTAATTTAATTTTAAAAATCAACACACAAAAATCAGATCTGTTTGTGTACACTAACAATGAAGTATCCAAAAAAGAAATAAAACAATTTTATCTTCCATAAAAAAAGATTTAAATACTTAGGAACAAACTTCACCAAGGAAGTGAAGGACTTCATCACTGAAAACTTAAAAAAAAAAATCAATGAAAGAAATTAAAGACACAAATTAATGGAAAGACATTTTGTGTTCATAGTTGGAAGATCTAATATTGATGAGATGTACATACTACCTAAAATTATCTGTAGATTCAATGCTATTCCCATCAACATCCCAAATGACTTTTTTTTTTTACAGAAACAGAAAGAATTTTAAAATTTATAAGGGACCACAAAAAAATATCAAAATAGCCAGAACAATCTTGATAAAGAAGAGCAGAGTTGGAGAAATTATAGTTCTTTATTCAAAATATATTACAAGGCTATAGGAATTAAAACAGTATGGTACTGGCATAAACCTAGACACATATAACAGTGAAACAGAACAGAAAGCCTAGAAATAAACTCACACATATGCGGTCAATTGATCTTTGACAAGAGTGTCAATAGTATACATTTAGGAAAGGACAGTTTTTATTTAAATATTGGGAAACTGGATGTCTACATGCAAAAGAATGAAATTGGACTCTATCTTACATCATACAAAAATCTTAGCTCAAAATGGATTAAAGGCTTAAAAAAGTAATACTTCAAATTAAGACTATTAGAAGAAAACATAAAAGCCTCTGGACATTTGGCAATAATGTGTTGGATATGACACTGAAAACACAGGTAGCAAAACCAAAAATAGGTGTCAGACCATATAAAACTAAAGCCTTCTGCACAACAAATAAACATTCAACAGGATGAAAATGCAACCCACATAATGAGAGAAAGTATTTGCAAATCATATATTTGATAAGGGGTATTCAAAATATGTAAGGAGCTCCTACAACTCAATAGCAAAAAATAAAAATACAAACTAAAAATACCAATAACCCAATCTTAAAAATGGGGAAAGGACTTCAATAGACATTTCTCCAAAGAATATTTACAAATAGCCAACTGGTATACCAAAAAAGTGCATAATGTCACTAATCATTAGGAAATGTGAATCAAAGCCATAAAAGGATATTGCCTTACTCCTGTTAGGAGGGCCGTTAAAAAAAAAAAAGAAACAAGATAACAAGTGTTGGTGAGGCTGTGAAGAAATTGTAACACTTACTTGTACACTATTGGCAGGAATGTAAAATGATGCAGCTGCTATGGAAAACAACATGGAGGTTCCCCCAAAAATTGAAAATAGAACTACCATATGAACCATCAATCCCACCTGTACATATGTAATAGAAGTGAAATCAGGATCTTGAAGAACTAGCTCCATTCCATGTTAATTGCAGATTTATTCACAATAACTAAAATATGGAAACAACCCAAATGTTTATCAATGGATGAATAAAATAATTGTGACATAATCATACAATGGAATATTATTCAGCCTTAAAATGTAATGTTTTATTTATTGTATTGATCATTGCTTTCCCTAATATGTTAATCTACTCTAAGAAGGAAGTTCACATTGCTATTATATGTATTCAATTCAATGAAATTCAAGTATTTATGATGATATCTATTTGAATATGAAGCATATAACTTTGTAACATCAATACTTATAGCTTTTAATGAAGGTGATCTTGGAGTCTAGGACACTGTATGTAGTATGACCAATTAAATTAGATTATACGTGTCTGTGTGTGTGCGTGTGTATTTTTAATGTGTGAGGTTCCTTTTTTAAAAAAAAAATATAGACTTTTTTCTTTGGCTTTTTTTATCACTTTTTTCAAATTGTTTTTGAAATATAATCTAATCCTATTTTGGTATCATAAATTTATAATTCATATATATCTATGAATATATTACATAGATATATACAAATATATATATGTTGTTTCCTTGGCACATGTCAAAATATATGTTTTTCTCTCCCAAATGTGTATATACACACATTTTGGAAATAAGTGTATTTATAACTACAAATAATACATAATGTATATGAAAAGTTTTATTTAAAAAAATATATTTATTTCTAAAGATCAGTAGGGTAGGTACAGCACCATTTTAATGTTATTCTCTTTGAAAAATTATTTAAAGAGCCCTGAAAATAATCCTCTCAGTTCTCTTAAAAAAAACCATTTCATTATCTTATTTTGTAACCAAAATGCATGTTTGTAAAAATTTAATGCAGATAATGAAGCATAGCATTATACCCTGTCAATGAGGACACCAATCATGTGCAAAAACATAAAATGAAAGGACTGCAGTTTAATGGACTACACAAAAATAACAGTCTTGTCATTGCACTTAGCCTGGATTCCCAGGGAAACAACAACTATGAAACTATCTAGTGCTCTCATACTTTTGATAGAAAATAAAAGTTAAATGATAATTATAACTATTAGGCTATCAGTCATACTGTCAGTCTCTATAATGTTAATAAATTTGGCCTTTGCAGCCAATTTCAGCAAAGTTTACAATGATCTGAGTCTTGATGCTGGGTAAGAATAAAAAACATCAAGAAAATAGAAGCAAATTTAATACTGAGATGTATAAAGTGCAAGTGACAAGAAAATGTCAGGAACTTAGCATTTGTTCTTATTTTATTTTAAGTATAGATGTCAAATTTTGTAACAAATTTTATGCATGCCCTTGTCTTGAAGGGTATGTGGGCCTTTATAAGATGCATATGGAAAAGAACTTTAATAAAATACATTACCCTTCAACATATCATTTGTTTCCCTATTGAAATACGCCCAGCAGGTTCATAGAAACTGCTTGAGTAATAAATGTTTTCCAGTATCTCTACTGGAGACCCCTATGTCTTCTTGCCTTATCAGAAATTCTCCTGAAATTATTGGCTATAGACATCATTCTTTCTCCTATTCATTTATTGTTTCCTTGGCCCACATCAAAACCGTTCCCTGTCATGAATTTTCAATTAAGTACATGCATCAAATAATACCTTTTCATATCTTTATTGTGAGAAACCATATTCATTACCAATTTTTAGCATAAGTAGATTAATTTTAAAACTGGCTTGGATTTTTCATCTTCAGAAACTTCTGGTAAGACGACTCCTATCATCTTGTTAGTATGCTAACAATTACCATGATGAAAATCTAAAACTATCAGCTTTAAAGTTTTTCATTCTCATCATTCTCTATGCTTTTAATATAATTATACGTATGTCTGTAAGAGTGAACCTACAAATTGCATTTCCATGACAGTATAAGAAAGACTTGTCCAAAAACCTTGAATTCAGAAAGCATGGTCTTGCCTAACAGAAGCATATATATTCTTCTTATCTCTAAGAGTTTGTATCACAATTGCAGGACTAGCATATACTGAGATTTTGCTTGTGAAAATTACTTGTGAAAAGTAATTATTTTAACCTTGGAAATTATTTCAATTCTTATTAAAATAGCCAAATGACAATTTTTAAAATGAAACATTATATTCTGAGATATGTGTCTCCATTCTGCAATAAGGTAATATTTATCTTATCTCTATTTTGGAAATAATAGTTAATGTGCTTTTACTTTATGTATTTTTATTTTTTAAAGCAATTTAAAGCAATATTCAAGAGTTGAGCCTGGAGAATGTGGCATTTGCGTGACATGGTTCTCTTTGTTATTTTGGGACATTTATATTTTTTCTAACCACTCCAATTGACGGTTCTCGTGATATTTACCTTTCATTTTTATTTCTCTGATTAAATTCCACCTCCCTAGAGAGTCTTCCTCTGAATGTTTCTGCTTAATTATTATCTATCACAGCACAGTTCATGTCATTCATCATGCTATTACAGTTTGCCTGCGATTTCGTAAGTCTGCATTACTTATTAGAATATGCAGATACGTGAAAAAGATCTGGCCTCTTGGAACCTAGATCGATCCTGTCAAAGCACTGTATCAATATGTTGAGGGTCGTTGCAGATCAATGATACCTTCCAGCACATGAAGAACATTCATTGACACATTTACTTAATAATATTTATACAGGTCTCACTTTGCCCAAAAACCAACTGCGCTATGGTCATGGCACACAATGTAGACAGGGTGACACATGGTTTTTGAGGGGTAAAAATGAGAAGCCAACAGGCAATTTCACTAGAGTGTGACATGTGCTATGAGAGGGCAGGTATAACACAAAGTGCAATGGGAGCACATATAGAGGGCCAGGAAAAGCTTCCTGGAGGAAGAGACCTGCAAGTTGAGGTGAGAAATATGGTAGCATTTATCTAGGTAATAAGCAAGAAGAGAGCTTTCTAAGTAGAGGGAAGTACATTTCCATAAACCTAGATGAAATTGACATTAAGTTGTATTTAGGAAATTCACAGTCAAGTATAACTATGGCCCTAGTCACAGTTATACTTGAATATAAGGTTGAATTTGAGGTTGCAAGACAAAAGATAAATTGTAAAGGCACCCCAACATCCAATCATGAAAGGTCCCATTAATCAAGTGGCATATCACATAAGGAGTGGAGTTGTTGTGTCTTTTATTGTCACCTACAAAAATTGTATGGGAATATTACAAAATGGATAAAGAAAATGTGGTACATACACACCATGGAATACAATGCAGCCATAAAAAACACAAGATTGTGTCCTTTGCAGGGACAATGGATGGAGCTGTAGGCCATTATCCTTAGCAAACTAACACAGGAACAGAAAACCAAATACCACCTGCTCTCACTTATAGATGAAGCTAAATGATGAGAACATATGGACATGTAGAGGGGAATAACACACACTGGGGCCTATTGGAGGGTGGGGGGTGGGAGGTTGGAGAGGATCAGGAAAAATAACTAATGGGTACTAGGCTTAATACCTGGGTAGTGAAATATCTGTACAATGAACCCCTGTGACACAATTTTACCTATGGAACAAACCTGCACTTGTACCCCTGAACTTAAAAGTTAAAAAAAGAAAATGAAAGGTAACTTAGGTGTTTAGACCAAATCATTCAATTTAAAGACTGTATCCTGAGAGAGAAAGCTGGATTTCTCATTCTATTTCTCAGATACATACATTTTACTGCTAGCTTTACAAAGAAAAGCTGAGAGCATCTCCGGATCTTAAGACCTAACATGTGAGAAGAGCAAGAAGGAGTTTCGGTATATTTCTTCAGGATTATGTAAAATGAGCTTTCTAAATTTTCTGTAACCTCCTATACATGATGAATAAAGGTCATTCCTACAAGATGTTTCCTGATGTAGATTAATGCAGGTTCACACACTAGCTGCTATATTTTTTCACAATCCTAACCCATTCATTTCTATCCTTTCTCATGTGTAGTTCTTGGCACAGAAGTTCATTAACATTTGACTAGCATCTAGGTGTAAGCCATTTTACAACTTATATATATTTTGAAAATGCTACTAGCTTCTGAAACCACCTTCTGATTTGTACAATGAATATGCTCTTTGGTCGACATCCACACCTAGTACAGGGATTGAGCTAGCATCAGAAGCCAGATTTCCTGAAGCTCAGTACAGTGTTCCTTCCTTATGCTATAATATCTTTCTCAGCAGCTGGATAATGTATGGGGGATGAGATAATAACTATTACATTTATTTTTCTTTATGTAAAAAGGAGATAGGGAAATTAAAGTAAGTTTTATAAGCTTTAGTACAATTATTTTGGTTGTGATGATAGTAAATTGAGATTAAAATATTATTTCATCTATCCTGGGATATATACAATTGTCTTTGAAAAATATGACAACCTATGGATTTGGTTAGCATACTTTTGTGATATTCAAAGAGTTACATGATAAAACTACATCTGAAATGAAGCAATTTAATGTAGAAATAAGATCAATGTGTTTATTTTCAATAAACATCCTTGTTATCTAAAATTGTTCACACAGTAAAAGCAGAGCCGATTTGTTCGGAATATAGATTCTAATGAACTGATATAAAAACCATTAGTTTAGTTTGACATGTTTAGCCTTGGTATTAGAGCAAAAAAAAAAAAAAGGTATGCTTTCTTTCTTTGCTTTAGTACGATTTATTTTCAACTCCTCTTTGTTTATTTCAATTTTATATAAAGTAACAGTGTTCACTCTTTTTGCTATATTTTATTTCAGAAACAATGGTTTTGCTAATTTAATGTTTAAAATAAAAGGACTAATAGGTATGTATTTATCTACTATATAAATTATAAAAGAATACTTTAAATCACAGATACGCAGGTACAGAGAATACAAGGTGATCTTTTTAATCTGTGCATAAATCAAATAGGAAAATAGCCCACTGAAGCACATTGGGATTTTTTTGAGGAAAATGCAGCCACCACATAAATGATGTTAGAGAAGCAGGGATCATGACTGGGCTTTCTTAATTGGTTAATATGAAACTTTGAATCATCTCCAGGTCTTGTTACCTTTCTTTGGTGTTGCCTTTTATTAATTATGTGGGAATCCCTAGGGAATTAAATTACTCTTTCATGTGCTGTTAGACTGTTTACAACAAAACATTTTCAAATTAATTATTAATTCTCAATGTTTTTTAAAAAATTAAAAAAATTAATAGCCTTATGTATAAGCAATATTGCATAATTTTTTTGAGACAGGGTCTTATTCTGTCACCCAGGCTGGAGTGCAGTGTCACAATCATAGCTCACTGTAACCTAAACGTCTAGGCTCAAGGGATGCTCCCATCCCAGCCTCCCAAGTAGCCAGGAGTACAAGCACATACCACTGTGCCTGGCTAAGTTTTTTTTTTTTTTAGTTTTTGTAGAGATAAGGTGTTGCTTTGTTGCCCAGATCTTAAACTCCTGGGCTCAAGAAATCCTCCTGACTCAGCCTCCCAAGTGCTGGGATTATAGGCATGAGCCACCCTGCCCAGCCCAATGTTTTAACTTAATATATAACATCTTTGGTTTTTAAGGCACAACATGATTTTATATATCACCAAGAAAGAGTGTAATTGTAAGACCTACTGATTGTTACATGCATCTCAATTTTACATATGTTAAAATGTGAAAAAGGTGTTTTTAGGATTGATGACATAGGATATCTGTTTGGTTAATTCAAATAAATAACCAAAGAGACATTTCTTCAGACTGTTTTGCAGTGATAATTTTGGAATGCTGAAAATAGTCTCCAGTAAGTATATAAGATTGCAGCCAAGAGGCATGTCATCATTTGTTTGGTGGGATAGAAGGAGCAAAACATATGCAATGCACTGCATTTTCTATTCTTTAGAGTACTAAACTTTTAAAGGCTGAAATAATGTTCCTTTGATAGTCACATCAGCCTTGTACTATCTCACAAAGCCTTTTGTTATTGCACATTAAGGAAAAAAGAATTTATAATCATTCATAAACATGGCAAAAGGAATTGCATTATAGCTGCCAGTAATACAGACACACTTTAGAAAAAAAGAATCTGAATTCTACAATCTCTGCATTAGTCAGATTAGATGATTTTTTTTTTACTGTGATAACATCCCACCAAAGCTCAATGGCTTAGCACATCAAAACTTAGTTCCTTGATTATCTAAAGTCCAGTGAAACTTTTGGGGTTCTACAAGGTAGTTCTTATCAACATAAAATGATTAAACATATAGGTTTTCTTCATATTTTGTACTGCAAGTTCAATCTGCGGCCTCTGGGATTACAGAAATGACACAGAGCTGACAAGCCACATTGGGGCATCAATCCTCTCCATCTACTATAGCCAGACTATTTATGTGACTCTTGACTAACTACAAGGGCAACTGGGAAATGTTGTGTAGCTCATGGATATTTAGTAATCGCTAAATTTTCAGAATATTTCTGTAAAACTCTTTCCTCTAGCATATGCCTATTAGGAATGTTTTTACAAAACGTTGCTTTAATTCTAACAATAATGAAACTGAAAGTGAGATGTTCTCTGTAATCATGAAAAAAAAATTCCCTCGGGTCTCTGGTAAAGTGAACCATTTGCTCCCACCATCTTGCTCAATTTAAACCAAGTTCACACTTCTATTGTAAGTATTAGGCAGAATAACATATATTTATTTACATTTTGGTTTTCTCCTGTGAAGACTATGCTCAATTTGAGACCGGGATAGCTAGCTATAGTGTTGCCACAGCATTTGTGTTGCCTCCAGGAACACTGTGTGCTTCAATGGACTCAGTATCATATGACAATGTATTTAATACATGTCTATTCATAACTCTGGTCACATGTCTAGCTTTCTTTTTTTTTGTTTTACTTTTTTAGAAAAATTAAATTTCAGTTCTCTTCATTCTTTGAATTTATATAAATGTATCCCAAATTGAAATAACTTTATTAAAGGGATTAGACATTAAAAATTATTATTTATATGTACCTGAACAAAATATGAGAAAATAATTGGTTGGCCAAATTCATCATAAAAGCAAGTATAGCTATAATTAAGAAAATTGCAATTGTGTGGAAATACAGAGATTTGAGAGTTCAGTATTGATAAAGTTGTATGAACTTGAAAGGCTAGCATACATTTTCTGGTTCTCAGTTTTTAATCACTTTTCAGTTCAAATATCACAAGATTTTTCAGGTCTTCTATTATAGATAATATAGGTGTTTTGTCTGTAAGTGAGACCCATTGGTATTTAATGTGATTAATATCAATAAATAGATTGAGCACAATTATAATATATATTCAGATGAAATAAATGTGATCCTAATCTTCCATATAACAAAATGAATTGACTGTTATTTTGTATCATTTATTATAGACTTTGTATTGTCTATTGTGGACACATCAAAAATTCTGTTTAAGAATAAAGATAGAGGTTTCAATGTTTTATAGATATATTTTATAGAAATATCTCAAATATCTTATATACATGTGTTTAATGTTGTATGATTTATCACAAATTTGATACTTAAGAACATTAAGTGATTTGTCTTTGAACTGTTGACTGAATCAGAGTTTCTATTACTGAATCAGTACAACAGCGGTAGCCAAATCTAAGAAATGGCATGTCCTTTGAATTCAAAACAAAAGCAATACCCTCAAAATTTCAAGCTGCATTTTTAAAGTTTTGCTTTCTTTAATTGTACATATAATATAACATTATTCATGAATAACAATCAAAACAAACATTTCTAAAGTATTCGTATGAGTCAGGCACCATTCATCTATCTGCCAATATTAGCTCAATCTTCACAGCAACTCTGTAATATGGCAGGGTTTTATTATCCCTGTTTCACAGTTGAGGAAACTAAGGCTGGGAAAATATTGAGAATATCGCTCAACATCTGGGTCTTCATAATGTGAGCTTTTAAAAATTGTTTGCATAAGATCTTTAGAGTGAAAATAGGTTGGTGTTTGGGTTTTCAGCCTCTTTCTGGACTAGAGAGTTCTTTCCAGGCTACCTTGTAGAAATTTGAGAGTTCAGCATTACTTTCCAATGAGGCCCAAAGATTCGGGAGCTTAGAGTTGTGACTAGACCATTGATGGAGGCATCACAAATGTTTAACCCAACCTTGATCCCAGAGTCTTCACAAATGCTCACTGAAAAAAATTGCCAGGACAATTTAGACCTCTCATAACTTCTGCTTTGAAATGTTAATAAAGAACCTTCTCAATTTGACTTTCAACTCTGGTACCAAATCCCATACCTCTCTACCAGAAAGTTTACCCAAACAACAGGAGGGAAGAGAAAAGATATTTCAGAACACCAGAGATCACTTGCTTTACAGGAGGACAGGAGTAATGACATTGTTATCTGTAGGGAAACAAAGGATGGTACCTGAGATATCCATTACTCAAGAGATTTTCTTGATTTGAAAGAAAACTAACACACACTGAGCTTAAGGGTGTTAAGAATGAATGAAGAAGTAGACCATTTAAATGTGGCTGAAGTTTCTGTCTTTATCACCATGAGATTCTTTTGAGAATTCTAATATAGGGAATTACGGCAAGTCAATTTAACCATAAATCCTATTCTTGTACATTTCTTTCTTGCTGGTAATTTTATTCAGCAGGTCGAGAAAGCAGCTGTATGATAGGAGAGACTGTATACTCATAATTTTAATAACCTATGATGAGTGATGTCTTTTTCTTATAGCATCTTTTCCTTCTTATCTTAATACGGATAACTTATATGGGTTCTGTGTAGTTTGAATGTATTTTACTAACTTCAATACACTTTAGCTCAACTTTTTGATTTGACCCAAAGGAGTACCAATAGGTCTCATGTACTTCCATGTGCTTTAGAAGGCGGGCCCAACACCAAGAATTTGAAGCAGGCTGGGCAGGTTGGCTCAGGCCTTTAATTGCAGCACTTTGGGAGGCCAAGTTGGGAGAATTTTTTGAGCTCAGGAGTTCAAGACCAGCCTGGGCAAATAGTAAGACCTTGTCTCTACTCAAAAGAATTACAAAAAATATCAGCTAGGCATGGTGGCATGTTCCTGTAGTCCCAGCTACTTGGGATGCTGAGGCAGGATCGTTTGGGTCCGGGAGGTTGAGGTTGCAGTGAGCTGTGATCATACCACTTCAGTCCAACCTGGGTGACAGAGTGAGACCTGTCTCAAAAAAACAAGACAACAGAACAGGCATGGTAGTTCATGCCTGTAATCCCAGCACCTTGGGAGGCTGGGGTGGGTGGATCACTTGAGGCCAGGAGTTGGAGAGCAGCCTGGCCAACATGGTGAAACCCGGTCTCTACTAAAAATGAAAGAATTAGACAGGCGTGGTGGCATGTGCCTGTAGTCCCAGCTACTCAGGAAACTGAGGTGTGAAAATAGCTTAAACCCGGGAGGCAGAGGTTGCAGTGAGCTGAGATCTTACCACTGCACTCTAGCCTGGGTGACAGAGCGAGACTCCTCAAAAACACAAACAGAAACAAAAACAAAACAAAACAAAAATGAAGGAAAGTAACCTGTGGGGAAATAATATAAATAAAACATTGGGTAGTCTGACAAGAGCATAATAATTAATTAGATTTTCTGATTTTCAAAAATTTGAATTGCAATAAAAGAAAATTCTGATGTGCTATATTTTAAATTTTCAGTCACAAATAAATGTGCAAAATAGTAAAATTGACATATTTGTTTACCTTTAAAAACAGTGAAGACAAAAGAGTTCTGATAAAACATTCAGGTAATAAAACTTGCTTATAATTTTGACCATATAATTCAGTAGTAATCAATTTAATATATAACACATAATAGTAGAAAGAAATAAGAAATATAGGCAAAAAAGAGAAGGCAGGAAGAAAAACAATATCAGAATGAAAAGGAGAAACAAGCCACATGAATGCAAGGGACCATCACAGATACACTGCAAAGTAAATTGTGCATACGTATATACTTTTATATAAATTTATATTAAAATTATACATCAATTATTGATAACAATTATAGTAGAAAACACAATGTGACTATATGTTCAATGATAGAAGTTACCCTTTCATTATGAAATAGGTTAAAAATAGAAAATAAACATAGTTTAAAATAAGGATGGAATACAACTATCATAAAACACTAATCAAAATAAGCTGGAAGACATTATCAATGTTACGAACAGGACAGTTCAGACAAGAAATATTTCCATGGAAAAACAGAACATTACATAACCATAGAGGTTGATACACCATAAAGACATAGTAATCCTTAATATGTATTTACCCTACAACCAAGACTCAACATACGTAAAACAAAAGTAACTGAAAGAAGATATGTACAAATTTATAATAATGCTGGGAAAACTTAACATTTCTCTTACAGTAATCAAAACACAAATAGACAGGGTATCATTAGGTCATGAAGACCAGAACATCACTATCAAATGTCAGTTTGTCTGAATTGACATTTGTAGAACACTTCACCCAATAAGATAAAAGTATTCATATTTTTCAAGTGACATAAAATATTAATCACCAAAAATTATTTTCTGGTACATAAAACAAACATCAGATGTTGAAAATATTGAAAATATACAACTTATAGTCTCTAATCACATGTTATTACCCCTGAAATCAGTCATAAAAAGTATCTGAAAAATCTACAAATATTTGGAAACTAAACAACATACTTTACTAAGATATTTCTACATAAATGTATGCATCTATGTGGAGGAAAAGTTTCAAAGTATTTTTAATTGAGTGAAATGAAAGCAGAATTGTACTCAATGTCCAGACAGCCATGGCAACATATCAAAATGTGTAGGATGCAGTTAAAGCAGTGTTTTTGGAGAGAAACATATAGCATCAAATGCTTATATTGGAGAAGATGAAAGGTTTTATATCAATGATCTAAAATTTGACTTAAAGTGGAAAAGCAAAGTAAATCCAAATAAAAAATAAATAAAAACAGAGACAATTAAAGAAATTTGAAACCAAAAGACAACAGAAATTTTTTAAAAGAAATGTCTTTTTGATACAACCAATAATATTGATAAATGTATAGCCAGAGTGATAACAAACTGAAAAACAGAAGACACAAATTATCAAGTTAAAAATTGTATCAGTATACCACCACATAGCTGAGATATGTAAAAGGGTAACAAGTGTACATTATAAACGACTTTATGCCGAAAAATTGTAACTGAGATGAAATTTACGTATTCCTTGAAAGATACAAATTGCCAAAATTTACTCAAAAAGGAAGAGGCAACCAGAATAGTACTATACCTACCAGAGAAATTAAACTCATTGTTAAAAAAATTAAACTCCAGTGGTGAAAACTACAGGCCAAGATATGTTAACCAACTATTAAAAATTTAAGGAAAACATACCAATTGTACCATAAAAACAATTTCAGAAAGTAGGAAAGGAGTGAATGCTTTCCAACCCATATTGTGATATGTGGAATATCCTGAAATCAAAACTAGTAAAGACCTTACAGGGAAAGAAAACTGTAAACTAACATCCCTGATGAGCACAGATGCAAAATTTCTCAAAATATATGGGGAATTAAATATAACAGTATACAAGAAAGATGATAAAGTGAGATTTACCCAATGCAAGCAAGATTGCATCAACATTTGAATAATGAAAATCAATCGAGGTAACTAACAATATCAAAAACAAAAATACAATTTGATTCCCTTCATAAATACAGAAAAAGCAATGGGGAAAACTCACCTTCCATTCATTATAAAAACCAAACACCGCATGTTCTCACTCATAGGTGGGAATTGAACAATGAGAACACATGGACACAGGAAGGGGAACATCACACACCAGGGACTGTTGTGGGGTGGGGGGAGGGGGGAGGGATAGCATTAGGAGATATACCTAATGCTAAATGACGAGTTAATGGGTGCAGCACACCAACATGGCACATGTATACATATGTAACAAACCTGCATGTTGTGCACATGTACCCTAAAACTTAAAGTATAATAATAATAAAATTAAAAAAACAACTCAGAGTAAAACAAATCTTCCATAACCTGATTAATAGCATCTACAAAATATGTATAGCTAACACTGTAACATAACTGTGAAAGACAGTAATTTCACTAGGACCAGAAACATGGCAAAGATGTTTACATTCACCACTCCTATTAAGCATCATATTGGAGATCAACGAAGAAAAAATAATCTTTTCATGAAACATCGAAGGGCGTGTTGGGCAGGTGAATCAGCACAGCTGTAGGGAATCATCTCATTGCTGAGGGAGCTCTCAACAAAAGGCTCCTGCTGTTTTTTGGCCCGAAGATCCTGGACTAGGAGAAGGGGAAGTTCTAGGAGTTGAAAAGTACTGAGAACTGAGTCAGAGTGGAGAAAAGGGTCTTCAAGCTACCTCCCTTTCTTCTGATAAGTCCAGAGGTACCTGAGAGGGGGCCTCAAAGGAACCCCAGTTCCCCATAAAGAGACTTCCAGATAGAAGCACCTAAGCTGGGAATGCAGGGATGCCCGAGTCCTTGACTGCCCCTTCCTGAAGAGACTGAAATCGGTGGGCTATGCCCCAAGCCTGGTGTGGGGAGGGCAGCTTTCCCCACGAGGCCTGTCTGGCGAAGCCTTTGCAATTGCCTGTGGTTGGGCCTGAAAAATAACCCTAGGTTTTTAGCCAGAAGTCAGAATGCTTACATTTCATTTAAAAAGTATTATTTTTCCTATTGTTATTGGAATTTATTGTATTTATAAAGGAAATGAACATCTTCTCATTATTTCATAGACCTGATTCCAGTAATCTGTATGAGCATTATCTGTACTAAAGAAACCCACCAGAAAAATTGTCAGGACATGTAACATCACTTAAGGATCATTCTTAGATAACTGTGTTCAACTGATCCCTTGGTTATAATTTATTCAGGTTTTAATTGTCTTCTTAAAAAAATTTAGAAATTGATATTTGATTAGGGTTTAATGAAAAAAGGAGTCACTTTATATACCTCAAATGTCAGATGTTTTAATGTAGAGAATTAGAGGCATGTGAAATATTTGAAAGAAAAAGCTAGGGGAGTAAGATACCTGCATCTGGCACTGACAACCTCAGCTTCTATATCACCACCACAGATTTCCAAAGCTCACCTAGAAGCCACTGAGAACCACCTGTCTGCTATCCTTGCATGCATCTGACTGCAGCTGTCTTCAATAAATATGATTTTAACTGCTTTTCCATTTCCTATATTTCATACCAGAGCCTCT
The DNA here is from genome assembly GCF_000001405.40 of Homo sapiens. Classification (NCBI taxonomy): domain Eukaryota; kingdom Metazoa; phylum Chordata; class Mammalia; order Primates; family Hominidae; genus Homo; species Homo sapiens. Next base: position 81,110,179 of record NC_000013.11, on the reverse strand, counting down.
TCTAGGACATAGATTGGCCTATGTCCTGAAATCAAAACAAAGGGTATATGAAAATGTACAACAGACACTGTGAGGTACACAGAAAAGGATTATCCAATGATAGAAAGAAACATGAAAGAAAGGCATGAGGCTTCATCAAAGAACTGGATAGTGGAGACAGTATAATGGGGCTACCCATAATTTTATGATTTTTAATTCTTTACCCTTGGGTAGATTCTATGCCTGTGGGACTAATAAGCTTTGATTTAGGCATGCTCTGAATGATAAGAGGTCCAGGAAAAGCTTAAGCAGGAAAGGGAATGAATACACTCAGTTAACTACTATAATGAGAAAAAAAAAAAAAAACCAACACTCGAAGCAACATTTTAACAGATGGTTAATCAACAATGTCATCTTCGTACATGGAGAATAATATCAGGGTTAATAAATTCATAAATACATGAAAAATTGGTAGAGAAATTCAACCAAAACCACTGTTACTTTTTTAAAAAATGAGCTATTTTAGATAGTATTTTGAAGATTAATATGGTACTTTGACTAAAATTTTCATCCAGAATATAATTTTCAAAGGCATTTTTGTATTAAAAATCACATTGCTCAGTAGAAGAAAAAAAGGAATGTGAAACAGTATATTTAATTTACTGTAAATATTTAGATGACTCACAATAAAGAATGGATTTCTTATTCTTCTCTTGTATTAAAGCAATTATGCAGAGTTTTGGTCATTGTTTTATATTTTTAGTAGATTTTTGCCTTTCATCTAATTCCTCTAAAAATCTATGCCATGACCTAGCTCTTTGTCAGGTCTATCGGGGTAATGCAAGTCAATTAAATTTCAGCAGAACATGTAATTACTGTTGGGAGTCTCTCTGCAAGATTTTCAATTTCTCTTTAGGGATTTAGAACTGAACAATGAATAATTTTGGTTTAATTAAAATTCAAGTACCAGATCCCTAAAGGCTCATTTTACAGAGATCTGCCAATCAGTCAATTGACAGACTCATAAAACTCTTGCTCACTCTGTGACTATCTTTTCCCTAATGTTATAACCCCCCAATGAAGGTCCTTTGTTTGCTGATATTTCATCCCACATATCTTGTAATTTGGCAATCTCATAATGAAAGAAGTGACATCCTATTCCAAATTAATGACTTATGTGCAGCAAGTGCTACAGTCCCAATCTGCACTAGTCTCTCTTGTGTGATGTAAGACAACAATGTGGCGATTTTCTTTCTTCTCTTAGTGTTACTATCACATCATTTACAGCAATACTTGAAAACTAAGTGACCTCCTCACTGAAACCAACATTACACGTTGAAGAGCCTATTTATTCACTTAATTATTTGTTAAATATTTATTGATAAGCTACTATGTCACAGTCAACCTCTATCTGCTAACAGTACAAAAGAGAGACAAATATGTTGACTAGGTAAGTGAAAGGTATGACAAAACCCAATCAAAAACATCAAAGAAAGTTTAAGTGATTCTGATCTGACACTTGAGTGAGTAGGGGGTAGCAAGGTAAGGAGTTTGTAGATGTGGGATGATATGCCTTAGGCATGTGTAATCAGGGGCTGGGTTAAATGTGGGAAGAAAATTGTGGAGACTATTTTTTAAATTTGCCAGGTGTAAAAATTATGGGTATGGGTGGGGGGTGGGGGGGGGTGGGGGGGGGGTGAGAAAATTATCCAGGTGAAGTAAATAGTGTGTGAGGTAGTGATTAGAGGAAGCACAACACTTTATAGAATTAAGATAAATTGCTTAGTGATTATCCACTACAAGGGGGCTAAATTATTACAAATCAGTAACTAAAAAAATTTTTAAAGTAGACTTTGTTTTAAAGAAAGGAAAAGGAATTCATGATTTTTATAGAGAAAAGTGATAAAAGTTAATCTGTAAGTCTTAATGATAATTTTTTCATACTCATAGGAAGTGTATTAAATTTCACTTGTGGAGTGACTAGCAGAATTCAGAACTTGAATATTGGCTGGATTGCTTCATCTGTAATTTTTACACTTGGAAAATAGCTTCACAATTTTCCTCCCACATTTGACCCAGCTCATGATTACGCACACTACAAATTTAGACACATTAACAAATATCACAGTATCCCAGATGAGGAATATAGTCCACTTAAGTACCAATTGACATACACACAAAGAAATGCATAGTTATAAAATCCATTGACTATTCAAGCTGGTGAATAATTTAACAATATTTCATTTTTAAAGGAATAATGTAGGCCTTCAAGTTGGAGGACCCACTAGAGTGCTGCCATCCAAATGGGTAAGTGAAAGGCTTATTCAAGAGAGTAAAGAATTGTCTACAGAGATTATAAAAATGACAAAAAAGTTACACGAATATCATCTGTCGTCAAGTTGTAAAGAGCATGAACATCACACTTGATGAGTCAGAATGGCCTTCAATATCAGCTAAAATTAATCAGGACCACAGTATATTGTCTTTTATATATAAGGAATAATTCCAATCTTTCTATAGAAATGTTTAGTTTAAGTATTAAGAATAATATTCAACAACATCAAAAGAAAAGCTGTAGAGATAAGATTTGACATAATCATGAGTAGTATCATCAAGGTAAAAAAACTACACTCTTACAATAATGCCATATGTATGAACAGAACCAGAAAAGAGCATTGTAGCTTCTAATGTGTCCAAGATATACGGTTTCAATAGAATAATAGCGGAAGAGCATAATGATTATAATAACTGACAGGCACAAAGACATTCTTCTAAGTATATTCCTTATGTTGCTAAAAGCTATTTCTTGATTTCTTTGATATCCATAGCACTGTGGTGAAGATTTTACATGGATTATCTAATTTATCTTCACAGCACCCTGAAGAAAGTTTGTTATGACCCACATTATATAAATGAGGTTTCTGAGGTATAAAGTGGCTAAGAATCTTTCCCAAATTCTTACCAGTGTTGGAGGCAGGATTCTGAGCATGGTTTGAGCTAACTCACTCCCAGTATTTTATTTATAAAACATTCTAAATATTTTACTTTTTAGTAAAATGAGAAAGCCAGCTTATACTGGTAATTGAGAGTACGTTATTAAATTTCCAAGAATTTTCTAAGTGAATGGCATCATGTTGACAGTTTGAAAGAATCCATGGTGGGGATATTTAGATGACAGAAATCTGAAAATATTATAAATCAGGGTCATTTTAAAAAGTTGGTTGTCAAACATTTAACAGTGCACCTATAGATATATTAAGCCAAGTAGATGAGAAGAGAAGCAAACCATGGTAAGGTCGCAGAGTGTGTTAGGATATATGTGTGAGGCAGTGCTCCTTTCACAGGGGCACTAGCTGTGGGGGGTCTGCTCCTGTAGACCCTTGATTTGGCGATGGATGAATAAAGTACACTGACACACAGATACTCTGCTCTGCCAGTCCAGCTGAGGGTCCCAGCCATTTACAGGCTCCCTGTTGAGTCCTGTAAACAGTTATGACCTGGCCCTGATCAGCTAGTGAGACTCAGATTTATTCAGTAAGACTAGTTAACAAAATTGTGAGTAAACACCACTAGAGGGTAAAGACTAAAGGCCAGGTTCTGAGGCCTAAAGCAAACACTATTCGCGGGTAATAAACTTCTGCCGACCCCTGAGTAGGAGGCAGTAAAGTACCCGCGGTAGGACAAAGGTCAGTCTTAAGCCCATATCAGTAAACAGGTTGGTAAGATAAATTTCCCATATTCCTTTGTACTTGGACCCTAATCTTTCCGGCTCCTGCAAAGAGACCCCGGCTGTCTTCAGTCAAGCAATCTGAAGCTATGCAAACTCTGAGGCCTTCCAAGAGAGTTTTTGGCTATTACTATAACTATCTTTAATATTTTTCCACCAGTCTGATTGAACCACAACATATGTGTATATTCTGCAGTATGTTGAGAGATTATGTTGTGCTGTAATAAATACAGCTTGAAAGATGAATTATGTAAACCATATAAAAAGGAAATAATTTAAGATGCAGATGTCTCAATAAGTACATGGTCTGTGTGTGTGTGTGTGTGTGTGTGTGTGTGTGCGCGCGTGCGCGCACAGGCATGTGAGCCCACTTATGTTGGGGAAGCAAAGTTAGTTAACTGGAGGCAGAAAAATTTGGTTTGGTAATAAAAATCATAAAACAAATACATGCATCAGAGTTTATCAGAGTAAGGTTGTGATTGTGTTACTGGAGTGTCCTGAATATCACCAGAATGTTTTTTCCCTGCAAAATGTGCACGGAAGTAAAGACAAAGGGTCAAGAACCAACGAAGGTGCTAAAAACAGAGGTATTGTACTCTTTGAGGCAGTAGCTGACCAGGAGGAAAGCTCTGGTCTGAGGAGCAGTTCAAGTATAGGCTTCCAGAAATTCGGAAAAAACTTCTGGCACAAAATCTGAATAGCGCTGGTCCTAAAGTCTGTTTACTGCTCCTTTTATTTTTTCTAACTTTTGGATTGTAGAAATTAAGAGTAAACATTTCATACAAAGTCTCCCTTGTCTCTACTAACCCTGTAGTATCTTATTCACTTTACCTGTGAAAGAATGCACCACAAAGTTGTAAGAGAATGAAAAGTATTTACTATTGTAAGAATAATCTATTTAAAGTAAAGTTTATAAAGCTAAAAATTTAAAATCATCACTAGAGTTACTTGGTATCCAGATATATTTAGATTCAAAATTTACATGATGATTATTAGAAAACTTTCAGTCATTTGATTAGAGATAATTAGTTTTAATCTATTAGACTCTCCCATGACAAAATTGAACATAATTTGATTGTTCATACATAAGAGTAATTTCTTCATGCAATAATTATTGACTCTTGATAATTATCAATTATTAAAATAAATATCCCTCTTAAAAGACCCTACTGATCCAACAACTGATTACTATGGCATCCCTCATCAGAGGAAGAGTTATTTAACAAATTACTATTTCTCAATGACTCTGCATCTAGATATACAACAAAAAAGTATAATAAGTTTTTATTTCAAATTCATGGGGAGCATACATAGCATTAAGAGCAGCAATGGCTGTCAAAATAGATAGTATTTATTTTCCTTTTCGGCTAAGATTTAGAGCACTATTTTTTTAAAAATCTGGCACTATATTTGAATAGCATTTTAGAACCTATTAGAAGTTTCCACATTCAGCAACTTGCTTGGTTATCATACCTATCCTATGAGATAGTAATGTAGATATCGTAATAGTATATTTACAAATGAAGAAATCAAAGAATGAGAATATTAAGAAACTATTCCAACAAAATCATTGCTATGGGACTATAAGTAAATATATCCACTTTTATGTAGTCATATTTTCCCTATTGTGTACCATGAAGACTGGTGGCTTATGTCTGTACTTCCATATCATGTACTATTTTTTAACATTTAGATATTATAGTTATAAAGAAAAAAAGGGGAACAGAGGAAATGAGAAAAGAAAGGAAGACAATTAACAACTGAAAAAAATGGAAAATTAAAAGCAGTTTTATTGTATAGATATTTCTATAACTAAATATGCTGTTCATCAATAGTTAAATGTCTTGTTGGAAAATTTTCTGTATATGTTTCTTGGAACAATTTCTGCATGAGTTTAATCATAATGAGTTTTTAAAAAGTTGTAGCAAGGCTAATATTTTGTGAAACAAAATTTGCTGAGTAGCACTTTTGTTTTTTATGAGAGCATTTCTCCAAGAACTGAGTAAATGAGAATTTACTCCACAACAATAGATACACTTTGATCTAGAGGGAGTAGAAGATATACTACATTATCCCCATATGCTCTTTGGAAATGATATTATTCATTTCAGTATTCAAACAAAGGGTAATTTGTAAAGGTTGCAGGCTCTGCAGAGTCATTTTGTCAAATTGTTAAAGCTCTCTGATTTCTTTAGGGACTGTTTCAACTGTCACGCCATTCAGGACACATCCAGAGGCCAGCTCATTTGACAGTGGTTTGGGGAAACATATTTCTCTGAGTATCAATTTCCTGTCACTTTACATGCCATCTTTATAAATTATTGAAGCAATTGTAAGAATGGGGAACACAGTGATTTTCAATGTGCCCTATTTGACTATAGCAAGAGACAGACTCTACAAAAGCAGTGATGCATTAAAGCTTGTATTATTTGATCAGTACTTCTTGAGCCATTTTCTTATAAATGTCCATCAGTCTGATAGACTTTTCCTGTAAAAGTTAAACATAATATCTGACATATTTTTAGTGGTTTAATGCTTCATAAAAATAAAAAAGAACGATTATTTTGTGATAGTTTCATATTACAGAGTAGAAAAATAAACCACCAAGAAGTTAAATGACTCTCCAAAATATCCTAGAAAATTAGTGGCAAAGACATAGCCATAACTGGAATTCCTGATTCTTAATGTAAGGCTGCTTTTTGTCAGAACCTGGTAAATCCATTTTCAACTCAATGTTATTCAAAACACTTTAATTCTGATATGTAGTGGTTGAGACTAAGGGCTCTGGAGCTCATTTGCCTGGCGCCACTACTTGGAAGCTCAGACCTGGAGCAGGTGACAGAACCCGTCTGCACCTCAATTTCCTCATTTTCAAAACTGAGTTTTGAATGGAGCCTAACTCAGAGAGTTAAATAAATTAATATGAATTCTAATTTTAAGTGCATAGAACAATGTCTTGCACATGATACTCAAAATGTTAACCATTATTATAATGTTTTGATTAGTGATTATTTATGGAACATAATAAACCACTCCAGAATTTAGTGGTTTAAAGCAATAATTTTTGTTCATGAATCTGCAATTTAAAGAGGTATTGGGGTTTTTTACTTGTCACTGCCTCTCATCGTGTCATCTGAGGAGCCTTGGATAGTGTAATTGTTGTGGATTTTATTGCATTGTGCTCAGAAAACTTAGATTCTAATTTATTGATACTTTGTACTTCTTGATATTCCTTTTGTGGTTTAACACATGGTCAATGATTTTTGTTTGACTGTTTTTATGTCTCAAGTGTGGTTTAAAAAATGTGTTCTCTAATTTTTTTGCAGAATTCTATGGATGCCTATTACATTAAGTGTTTATTGTGTTAAATCTCCGTACCTTAATTACTGTTTGATCTAGAGACTTTGAGAGAGTAAATTTAGAATACTGCACTTTTATACTTTTTTTGGCATTTTTTTCAGTGTAGATGTTTTCTTTTTTTTTTTTTTATTGATCATTCTTGGGTGTTTCTCGCAGGGGGTATTTGGCAGGGTCATAGGACAATAGTGGAGGGAAGGTCAGCAGATAAACAAGTGAACAAAGGTCTCTGGTTTTCCTAGGCAGAGTGTTTGTGTCCCTGGGTACTTGAGATTAGGGAGTGGTGATGACTCTTAAGGAGCATGCTGCCTTCAAGCATCTGTTTAACAAAGCACATCTTGCACCGCCCTTAATCCATTTAACCCTGAGTGGACACAGCACATATTTCAGAGAGCACAGGGTTGGGGGTAAGGTCATAGATCAACAGAATCCCAAGGCAGAAGAATTTTTCTTAGTACAGAACAAAATGAAAAGTCTCCCATGTCTACTTCTTTCTACACAGACACAGCAACCATCCGATTTCTCAGTCTTTTCCCCACCTTTCCCCCTTTTCTATTCCACAAAACCGCCATTGTCATCATGGCCTGTTCTCAATGAGCTGTTGGGTACACCTCCCAGACGGGGTGGTGGCCGGGCAGAGGGGCTCCTCACTTCCCAGTAGGGGCGGCCGGGCAGAGGCACCCCTCACCTCCCGGACAGGGCGGCTGGCCGGGCAGGGGGCTGACCCCTCCACCTCCCTCCCAGATGGGGCAGCTGGCCGGGCAGAGGGGCTCCTCACTTCCCAGTAGGGGCGGCCGGCTGGGCAGAGGGGCTCCTCACTTCCCAGTAGGGGCGGCCGGGCAGAGGCGCCCCTCAACTCCCGGATGGGGCGGCTGCCCTGTCTGAGAAGCGAGGAAACCCTCCGTCTGGCAACCGCCCCGTCTGAGAAGTGAGGAGCCCCTCCACCCGGCAGCCACCCCATCTGGGAAGTGAGGAGCGTCTCCGCCCGGCAGCCACCCCGTCCGGGAGGGAGGTGGGGGTCAGCCCCCGCCAGGCCAGCCGCCCCGTCCGGGAGGGAGGTGGGGAGATCAGCCCCCCGCCCGGCCAGTGTAGATGTTTTCACGTACAAAAAGATTTGGATTTTTTTTTCCCTAAATGTATAATTTTCCTACATTTAATCATTAAGGAAAAAATAATTTTATTTGTACATCTTATAATTAGCAACATTCTTTGTTAGTGTTTTCCTGATATACATTCTATATTTTTACTTTATTTTTTCTGTTTAATTACATGCTTTATATATATATATACACTTAAAATTTATATAACAGCTTTTTTATCACCATCATAATCTCTGCTTTGAAGATGTAATTTTAATGTTTCAGTTTATTTTAGTTATAAATACAATGGAAAATATTTCTCTCATTTTATTTTGTGTTTTCTACTTGGTACGCTTTCCTTTTATTTTCCTCCTCATTAATTCTTCTATAAAATTTACCAAATTCTGTTAGTTACCTAATTTTCTTATACAATTTTGAAATGTATCCATCTTTCTATTATTTTACAGCAAACCCTTTGAAATTTTAATCGATTTGTCACAGTGCAATGTTGTTATCTCTTTTCTACCAAATAATAAATGCACAAAAAAACATTATTCTATTTTTTTCCATCCTCAATATTTCTTTGTTATTTTAGTTTTAGCTTGTTTTTGGTAATCCAGGAACAAACAATTTCTGTAAACTTATAATCAAAGTTCATAGAATTTTACTTTGACAGATATTTATGAAAATCTGCAATCACATACCAAAGTAAAAAAATAGTAAACTGAACGCATGCTCAGTAACCATCAGATTTTTATCAGTATTTTTTTGTCGATTCTTCACCCAACATTTTTCGCTGTGGTATTTTAAAGCAATTTCTACCAATCACATCATTTTACCACACTCAATTTTGCATAGCAAAAAGATGAAAATATTAGTATCACTCCTTTAAAGTTAATATTCAGAGTTTTTTTAAACAAAGAATTTCATTTAATTTCCTCCTGTAATATCGGATTACACATGGTAAGTCTGCTTTTCCATTACATTACTTCCTTATTTTTTAACATATGCAATGTGCGCTTAATATTCTAGTTCTAGATGGACCAAATGTATATATGATACATATATGCTCCTTGACCTTGATTGATTTTTTTAATTTTTTTTGTCCTTGGTTCTCAGGTCTTCCTTTAATAACTGCAAATTTACAGTCATTATCATCGCAAATATTATCTTATTCTATCATGCGATATTTTATCAGACCCTTTAAATCTGTTACCCATCTTTCTTAAACTGCTTCATTACTTTTATCTCTATCTTCATTAATTTTATCTCACAAAATAAATTTTATCACATAAAATTCTCAGTTGCATTCTGTGTTATTCTTTTGGCTCTTTTTTTCATTTCTGTAAAAATCTCCTAAAGTTTATAAATTCAACGGTTCTTTATAAACCTTTACTTTTTTCAGTGTGTATTGCATCTTATGACAACATATATTCATAACAAGAAGTTTTCATTATTTTTTACCCAAATTTTTTTATTCATTCTCTTTTTGCTGTTTCATGGTTTCTATTCTTTTATCTTTTTATGCATTTAAATACATTTGTGTACCTTCCAAATTGTTGTGTTATCTCCTTACTCATAGGTGCTATTCTTTCGCATGCTAAATCTTTCGCCTGCTAAATCTTTCTCGTGGTGGTTTGTTTCAGTGTATGTTTTATAACTTTTGATACAGAGCTCACCATCTGTAAGCGTTTACCTCCCTGTGGAGTCCAATGTGTGCTCTATAATTGAGCATTCAATAAATTTTTGACTTTTCCAAGACTCCAGAGTTTTCACTATTGTGGGATCAGCTTTCATGATCAGTCTTCATAATTTAGAATTTCATTAAGACATGAGCATTTTAAAATTTCTTATAGAATAGACAAGATTTTAAACAACTATTTCTTTTCTCAGTCACAAATTTCTTGCCATATCACAGGCCAAAAGAGGATGTTGATCTAATCCCACTTTCATGACTAGCCATCTCATTGATGTTTCGACTTTATGCAAAAGGCTCAGTAGAAGTTTTTCCTGTATTAAAACCTGAATCTCATCCCATAGGATCAATATACTGTCTGCTATTCTCATTAGCTCCCAAATTGTTAGCTCCCACTTTGTGCACCAGTTTGAAGTTACCTCTTTTTCTCTGATGCCCAGGGACTCTACTGTGTTTCATTCATGTCTGAACATGTATTTTAAACATCATAATGTTAATTTCAGTGTATTACTGTGTATATGTAGCAAGGGTAGGAAATATGTGGCCCAATATTTTGTCTAAAATAGCTATAATTGTATAATTTATTAACAGTTCTCTTTTCAGGCCGGGCACGGTGGCTCACGCGTGTAATCCCAGCACTTTGGGAGGCCAAGGCGGGTGGATCATGAGGTCAGGAGATCAAGACCATCCTGGCTAACACGGTGAAACCCCGTCTCTACTAAAAAATACAAAAAATTAGCCTGGCTTGGAGGCCGGCGCCTGTAGTCCCAGCTACTCGGGAGGCTGAGGCAGGAGAATAGGGTGAACCCGGGAGGCAGAGCTTGCAGTGAGCCCAGATCCTCCCACTGCACTCCAGCCTGGGCGACAGAGCTAGACCCCGTCTCAAAAAAAAAAAAAAAAAATCTCTTTTCAAAATTAAGTGATTCAACAAAATGTCATCTAAGGTGTTTTCAAAATAAAACATGTTTATGCAGTTACCTTACTAATCCCGAACAATTCTGTCGGCATTACACACACTACATGGAAATTATTTGTGTTGAATGGTAGAAACAATATATATTATTAAGTGACTAATGTTATTAACTGGAATGCATTTTTTAATATTAAAAGAAACGTTCAAGGACATGTTCTGTTAATGAAATAAAAGTGAATGAGAATCTAAATTACAAAATACAACAACTACTAGGCTTAGAATCAGGCCAAGATCTGAGTTTGAATACCACTTCTGCAAGCAACGGTCTGATGCAGGATGTGTTATTTTACCTCTGAAAATCTGCTATCTCATAGGGTTTTATGATAGAGTCATTATTAAAAGTATTCTAAAGTCTGTGAAGATCTATAAATATGTTAATCATTTTAACTACTAGATAGTATTTTATTTCACTGTGAATTTGTGGTAAAATAATTATGGCCAGAAATGCATATATCAAGAGGTTATGAATGGCTCATTAAGAAAAGAGAAAAAAAGAAAAGTAGAGAGAACAAAACACAATATTATAAAAAGTGGCTAAAATACATTTTATGAACTTAACTTTCTAGTTTTATTTTAAACATGAAAAGGGAATCTCATTTTATATTAAAATTATTTGCATAGCACTTTATAAAATACCTTTATGCGGTTTACTAGTTTCCTACAGCTTCTGTAATAAAGTCCCACAAACTTTTTGGGTTAAAACAACAGAAATTTATTTCTCTCACAGTTCTGAGGCTAGAAGTCTAAAAACTAGATGCCAGCACACTCTCTGATGGCTCTAGTAGAGAATTTCTTTCAGGCATTTCCCTTAGCTTCTAGGATTACTGTAAATCTTTGGTGTTCCTTGGCTTGTAAATATATCACTGTAATATCTGTATCTCCAGCATCACATGGTGTGTTCCCGTGGATTTCTGTCTCTGTGTCTCTTCTTTTTTTTTTGCAAGGATGCTAGTCATTTGTAATTGAGGGATTAGCCTATTCCAGTATGACTTCATCTTGACTTGATCACATTTGCAAAGACCCTATTTCCAAATAAAGTCACATTCAGAAGTACGAGAATTTAGGATTTGGACTTACCTTTATCAGGGATACAATTTCACCGACAACACCTAGACATTAGAAAGAAAATAAGGATAAAATATGAACAACTCTATGCCCACAAATTTGAAAAATTAGGAGTAAGGGAACAATTTATTGAAAGACACAAAATACCAAAACTCACTCAAGAAGAAAGAAAGAAAGAATTTGAATAGCCTTATATCGGGCAAATAAATTAAGTTAATACATATCTGAGTGCTGAGACAAGTGCTAAGACAAGAAGGATACTTTGGTTAACTTTACAAAATATTTAAGGATGAAATGGTTATTCTACACCATCTTCTTTCAAAAAAAGGAGCAACGGAGATTACTTCCCAACTCATTTTATGAGACCAGCATTGTATTAACAGCAAAAACAGACAAATGTATTATAAGAAAAGAAACTATAGATCAATACTTCTCATGATCACAGACATAAAACAAGGGTTAAAAAATGCCAGCAATCTGAATCCAAAAATATGTAAAAGGATAATACACCATACTAAGTGGGGTTTAACTAATGAATGCAAGGCTGGTTCAACATTTTAGTCAAGAAATGCAATTTATCATATTAACAGACTGGATAAGAAGAAAAAATGGATGACCATATTATTAGACAGAGAAAAGACATTCAAAAAATTCAACACATTCGAAAAACTATGAAGAGGGAATTTCCTTAATCTACCAAAAGACATATAGGACAAACTTCCAGCTAATATCATAATTAATGAATATAGACTGAAGACTTACTCCCCTAAGAGCAGAAAGGAAGGATGGCCTCTCCCACAACTTCTATCAAATACTTTACTGAAAGTCCTTATTAGTGTAGTTGATCATATAAAAATAAAAAATATACACAGTGGAGAGGAGACCAAGAAATGAAACTCTTTATTCACAGATGACAAAATTGTCTATGTGGAGAAACAAAATGCTGGGACTAATAAGCAAGCATGATGAAACTGCATGACACAAAGATACAATGTGAATATATAAAAGTGAATTGCTATTCTACGATAAATTGAAATTTGAAGTTTAAAAATCTATTTACAATAGCAATGAAAACCAAAATGCTTAAATTAAAATCTAATAAATATGTACAGAACCTGAATTTGGAAAGCTATAAAATACTGATGAAAAAACTCAGAGAGATATTTATGTTTATAGATGGAAAGACTCAATATTAAGATGTCAGTTCTTCTCAACTTAAAATACAGGTTGAAGGCATTGTCAATGACAATTCCAACAATTTGTTTTATAGATACTGAAAAACTGATTCTAAAATATGTATAAAAAGCCAAAGATCTCTAACAACCATAAAAAACACTGAAGATGAACTAATTTAGATTAATCATACCACCTGATTTTCAGAATTACCAAACGGCTACAGTAAGGAGGACAATGTGATATTGGCAAAGGAATAGGAACATGGATCAATGAAACAGAATGGGGTATGCAGAAATAGAATTAAACAAGCACAGTCAACTGAGTGTTTTTTATAAAGTGCAGGGCAATTTAATGGTTAAATTATAGTCTTTCAACACATAGTTCTTGAATGATTGGGTGTCCATATTTTAAGGGAAGAAACTAGATAAACACCTTACAACTTATAAATACATTAACTTGAATAAGTCATAAATGTAAACAAAATCTACAGGACTGAGTTTGAAAATGAGTGCTCAGATATAACCCAAAAGCATACCCATGATATTTTTTTTTTAAGAAATGATGTTTGACTTTTTTTAAAATTAGAAAACGTTTTTTCTTTTTTTCTTTTTTTTTTGAGACGGAGTTTCACTCTTGTCACCCAGGCTGGAGTGCAATGGCGCGATCTCGGCTCACCGCAACCTACGCCTCCCGGGTTCAAGCGATGCTCTTGCCTCAGCCTACTGAGTAGCTGGGATTATAGGCATGCGCCACTACGCCTGGCTAATTTTGTATTTTTAGGAGAGACGGGCTTTCTCCGTGTTGGTCAGGCTGGTCTGGAACTCCCGACCTCAGGTGAACTGCTCTCCTCCGCCTCTCAAAGTGCTGGGATTACAGGGGTGAGCTACTGTGCAAAAGACACTGTTAAGAAAATCATTCATGAAATCACAGACTGGGAGAAAATATTTGCAAATTACATAACAGTTAAAGACTTTTATCCAAATTTACAAAGAACTCTTAAAAGTCAAAACTCAAAAAACAAAACAAAACAAAAACAATGATAAAGGGCAAAAGATTAAAAGACATCTCACTAAAGAAGATATACAATTGGTAAATAAGCACATAAACAGAATTTTTTTTTTTTTTTTGAGATGGAGTCTCACTCTGTTGCCCAGGCTGGAGTCAGTGGCCTGATCTCTGCTCACTGCAAGCTCCACCTCCTGGTTTCACCCCATTCTCCCGCCTCAGCCTCCGAGTAGCTGGGACGACGGGCGCCTGTCACCACGCCCAGCTAATTTTTTTGTATTTTTAGTAGAGACCGGGTTTCACCGTATTAGCCATGATGGTCTCGATCTCCTGATCTCAAGATCCGACCTCCTTGGCCTCCCAAAGTGCTGGGATTACAGGTGTGAGCCACCGCGCCCAGCTGCATATAAAAAGATTTTTAACAAAACTTGTCATTAAGAAAATGCAAATTAAAACAAAAATAATATATTACTATAGATCTATTACAATGGCTAAAATCCAAGAAACTAAAATTATTATCAATTTCTAACAGGAATACAGAAGAACTAGAATGCTCGTTCATTGCTAGCAAGGATGCAAAATGACACAGCCACTTCAGAAAATAGTTTGGCAATTTCTTGCAAAGCTAAAAATTATCTCAATTAACATAATTCAGCAATTGCATTTCTAGAAATTTACCCAATCAGAAAATTTATGTTGACACAAAAATCTGCATTCTAAAGTTTATATCAAATTTATTCATAAGCTCCAAACCTGGAAGCAACCAACACATTCTTTGATAGGTATTTGGCTAAACAAACAATAGAATATTATTTAATGATCTAAAAGAATCAGCTATTAAACCACACATTGAAACCTCACACAATTTTGACATTATGCAGAAACAAAAACAATCGATATAATAAACAAGTGTTTGCCAGAGGTTTTTGTATAGGCCAGTTGAGTAGATGAAGTACAATGTATTTTTTAGGGTAGTAAATTCATGTGTATGAAACTGTAATGGTCAAAACTCACAGAATTTCACAGGACAAAGAGGAAGTGTTCATAAAGTGAAATAAAAAAAAATCATTTAAGAGGTTGGAAGGTCCAAGGATGGAATACAGACAATAGTAGAGAATCTAACACTGTAAGAAATCCATGAAATAACCTCTTTTAAGGAGGTTGGGGGAGAAGGTTCTGACCAAACTATCTTTGGAAATAAGCAAAGATTCAAAGACTAAAAGCAAAAAGAACCATATATAAGTTTTGGTAAAGTCCCAGTGATGATTTAGGTTAACAATCCTGAAACATACATATATAACAGAATTGACATAAATGCATGATGGATAGTAGGAGCAAGTTTCTCACTTCTGGAATAGGAGATTACAGACAAGAAAGGGAGAAAAGCTGGAATAAACCATGTGATACTGGATCAATACATCCATAGAAACTATTACTGTAATGTAGATACAGATGATATCCACAGAAATTTTTATGAGTATATGTATATACATGGGTTTTATAAACTTCCTTGCTGTCATTTGGAAAGTCCTAGAATCAATAACACCTCAGTAGCAATTAACACATCCAGAGCCCAGATGCTGGTTTCTAATAACATTTGCCAAGAAAAGGAAGCTGAGCTCCTTAAAGAAGTGGTTCAATCTAGGGCTTTAGCAGGAATATACAAGATGAGCTTAGAGTACCTTGTAGTATCAGAAAGTAGGGAAGTACTCAAAAATAAAGAATGTAATTACTGGGCTATTTCAAAGAAACAGAGGAGCCAACAGAAACAGCTTCCAATGGCTAAACCCAACACAATGTATGAGAGGGAGACCCAAACACACACACACACACACACACACACACACACACACACACACAGAGAGAGAGAGAGAGAGAGAGAGATTCTACCTTCACAATGAGACACAACATATCTTTCCATTCCTTAATAGTGGACTGTGCTCCAACATGTACAGCATGGAAGGGCAGAGGGAAAGAGTATCTGGATAATTGAGAAAACTAACAAATATACTATCTCAGATAGGTGATCAAATTTAACTTCAAAGGTGACAAATTAAACTGATGGCATGTATCCTTAATGTAATGTGATGAGATTGACACTTTATTTCAGTGGTTTTCTTCCCTCAAACTCATAATCTCAACCTAATCATCAGGAAACCACCAAACAAATCCCAACTGAGAAACATCAAAATATTCATCAATACTCCTCAAAACTTTCCAGGTCATCAAAAATAAGGAAAGTCTGAGAAAATAGTCATAGTCAGAAAAAACCAAAGGAGAATGACAAGTGAAGGTAATGTGTATTCTGGATGAGATCCTAGAACAGAAAAGTAATATTTGGAGAAATTGAGGTAATCTAAAAAAAGTATGGACTTTGGTTAATAAAATGTTATCCATATTGGTTTATTAATAGTGACAATTATACCTTATTAATATGAGATACTGAAAGTATGGGAAACTAAGCTTTGGGTGTATGTCTTTGCTATCTTTGTAACTTATTTCTGAATCTAAAACCATTTTAAATAAAATAAAATATAATTGTTTATTAAAATATGTGTGTGTGTATATACATAACCCAACATACATACACACACACACACACACACACACGAAGAAAGAGTTCTTTGTATTTATAAAGTGACTAAATGACACTACATTGAGGTTCTTACTCTAAATAATTTTAACCCACGAATACTGGTAAAACAATAAAAATTATTATTCCATATTAATATTTATTGTTCCTAATATGACAAAACAAGTATTACAGCATCACTTTTCAGTCTCTTCCATTCCTGTACTGATTAAGGAAAAATATTTTTTGCTTTCTCTATTTGAAATCTTTGATGTGCAAAATCAAGATAATGTTTGAGGAGATAAATTGATTTCTAAGGCTCACTTAATGGATTATTTAAGTAGGGCATATTTACTGGCAGGAAAACGAATGAAGAGGTCCAGAAGTGATAGTTAAATAGATTGAAATACACACAGACACAAACGGAGTAGAGAGAATTCTTTATATTTATGAAGGGACTAAATGACCTATATTGTGGTTCTTGCTCTAGATGATTTTAATCCATTATTATTGGTAAAACAATAAAAATCATTATTCTATATTAATATTTGTTGTTTCTAATATGACAAAACAGTATTACCGCAAGACTTCTCAGTATCGTCTATTCCTGTACTGATTAAAGAGAATTATTTTTTGCTTTCTCTGTAAACTTTGATGCGCAAAATCAAGATAATATTTGAAGAGATGAATTGAAGATTTCTAAGGCTCACCTGGTGAATTTATTTAAGTAGGGAATATTACTGAACAGAAAACAAATGAACAGATCTAGAAGTGTTAGCTGAATAGACTAAAAATTTAGAATTCAATCCAGGCTGATATAGATGGAAAATTTAGAGGAGATTGAAAAGGAAAGAGAAATTTGGGGAAACTCTAGTATGTGTAGCATATATAATATGAAGAAGAATTAAGAAGTTCCTCTGTGTTAAAAGCACATTTTTGGCATTTTGAATTTCTTCAATAGAGATGTAAAATCTTTTTCAATTACTTTTTGGTCTATTGTACTTGCTGTAAATATATTTATAATGAGAATAGATTCTAAATGGCTTGACATTATATAAGTCACAGCTACTTTCAAACTTGTCTCGGAAAAGACTACTATCATGGGAACAGAAATTTAGTAAAATTAGCTCATTGTTTCTAGGCTATAAAATTTTCTTAAAGGTCACTTGAAAAGCTGAATATTTTTCCTCTTTACAAGTCTCAGCAGTAATACAGTTATTTCAGTTTTGTGACAATGGCACGTGCCCATTTGTCTACATAGCAACTAGTATGCACAGATTTTCTTCTCAAATTCTGTTTGTATTTTGTGATATATTTAATAAACATAATCGTACTGTCTTAATTCCATGACTTTAATTTATGAGCTTTTAGGTTTAACATTATCTTATTTATTTGAACTGCTTGCTATCCCTAGAAATTAAGATGCAGGCCAATATACTTTATATAAATAATGGTAATTGACAGGAATAAAATAAGAAACTAGCAGGCCACAGTGGCTCACGCTGGGAAGTCCAGTGCTTTGGGAAACAAAGGTAGGAGGATTGCTTGAGCGTAGGAGTTCAAGATCAACTTGAGCAACATAATGAGATCTTGCTTTTTAAAATAAATAAATAAAAAATTAGCTGGGTGTCGTGATGAACATCTATAGTCCCAGCTACGCGGAAGGCTCAGGTGGGAGGATGGCTGAAGCCTGAGACTGAGGCAACAGTGAGCCATTCACACAACTACACTGCAGCCTGAGTGACAGAGTAAGCCCCTATCTCAACAATAACAACAAAAAAGGCAACTGAACTGAAGTAACTGAATTAAAGTAAGTGAATTACTGTGTTAGTTTACTGTATTTTCTCTCACAGTAGGAAATAATACACCCAGAATGATGGTTCGCAAATGTACCATACAATAACCTTGTAACAATTAAGATAAGTAAAACAAATATTTAAAAACATTGGAAAGTTGTATAAAGTTTTTATTTTAGTCATTCATTAATTCTCCTATTATAAGACTGTTTGTATTATATTTCTTGGTGAATAAAAGGAAAGCAGAACCAGAAACTGTTAATTTATACTAAAATATATTTTTATGAAAGGATATTAAGTAATTCACAGAACTGGGTTTGATCTAGAACCAAGGGAGGAAGGTAGAGTCAAGATCCTATAACCAGAAAAATGTTCCCAGGGAACTATTGCTGGCACTTTTGCCATTGGATAACTGGCTCTGAATCTCCACCAAAGCCACCTCAAATAAATCTCAAATGGCCCTATACTTTTGACTATACCACAGGTGACCAATATTTGTTGGTAGAACTCTAATGATTAGACTCTGAGAATAGGTCGGACTTATGTGGCTGAGTAGAATAAGGCTATTTCAGCTCAATTACATCTATACTGAAAGTTGTACAGAGGTCCGTATTTTCATTTGCATTGGTATAGACAAAGACATCATGTGTTTGAATTGTCCCAAAAGAGAGACTGACTCCTAGAATATATTTGAGAAACTCATGAAAGTCTTTAAGAAGAAAAGACTTAGCTTTGCAACCCACAAGTGGATAAACAAGCCCAGTTTATAACTGTACAACTTAGCACAACTTAGCAAGGTCTTTGCAACATCTTACAACTCTTCCTTATCCCTTACATAATGAAATATAGCAATATTGGGAAAACACTGGAATTGAAATTGGTGAGTGTAGGTGTATTTATCAGTTTCTCTCTCATTAACTGAGTGACCTTGGTAAAATAATCAGTGAGTTTCAATTTTTGTGTATAATATATAATGTGTGTGTGTGTGTGTGTGTGTGTGTGTGTGTGAAGAGAAAGCATATATTCCTATAAGAATGCCCTTCCTAGAATGTATGAAACCAAACTGTGCTCTGAGCACCTTGGACACATGCTGTCAGGACTCCCGAGGCTGTGGCACGGGCACATGTCCTTAACCTTGGCAAAATAAACTTTCTAAATATATGCTCTCTCTCTACTCTCTCTTTTTTGGGCAGTGTTTTTCAAAGGATCAAATTAAATGAAATAATGTATCTGAAATGTTTTATGAACCCTAAAGCAATATAAATTAAGATATGTTTGTTATTTAACCATCACTCAGATCACTCAAAGATCCTTGTGAGATTTTCAAAGCACTGCAATCAATGAACAGTAAGTGATAATCATGACAAATACATATAATAAAGAGCACTAAATTTATTACAGTTTAGATTTCCTACAATGCCTACTTAGAATTATAACATTAAGCAAAAATTATAGAGCTTTGTTATTCTCTGTATATAAAATATCAAACTTATACTGAAGTAGTAACCAACGAATAAAACAGATTTACTGCTTACACAAATATAATTGGGCATTGATAGAGAATTTTTCCTCAAACTCAAGCATTTATATCAGAGATATTTCTGTAAATTGGAGAAAAACAATTCTCTAAATTTAGCATATGTTAAAGGCTATAAATAGCAAATGAAGAAAAGCTATCTTAGTAGTATGACAAACAACAGAGCATCACCATAACTTTGATGCATGGACCAAAAAGAAAGTCATGGCATGGTGGTTTTATAGCTATGTGGTCATTGTTCATGCGGCTAAGGTAACCCATTAACAATGCCTTGCGTAAGGTACTTTGCTAGGATCAGACTATTCTAGGACTACAGAGATCTACAGCTGTTTGCTGTAGACAAGAAAAGACAGAATGGAAACAATGTAACTCAAATCCATACTGACCTCAGCTAGCTTCAGTGCTGGGAAAAATGCAGCCAAGAATCAAGGATGAAGACAGACCAGAAAACCAAAATAACAACCAAAACAAAGAGGATAAAAAATAGGATCATAGCAGACAGGAGTGGTGAATTGGGAAATTTATTTCAGAGCTAAAGTTTTGCTTAAGTTTCTTTTTATATAGTTCCTAATATGTGATAGATAAGATTATTAGTTTGGAATTTTAAATATCCTGTAGAGAATCAGATTCCTGGCTTGAAGTTGAAAAAGCTGTTCACATCGGAATGTGCACTTCATTTTCCAGTAAGAATAGTTTTAAATAGGAGCACAGCGTCACTAATGTATTGGTTACAGCCACTTGGTCAGTTTTGAAAAGATTCTCATTTAGAGGTGAAATACAGGCCAAATAATGAAATAAAAATAGAATATATTTGTTAGAAGAAACATGGTCAAATTAAGTATGAGAAACATGTCAAAATCATAAACGGTGTGAAAGGAAAATAAATCTTGGGGCCCCCAAAGCTAAAGGAAAAAGTCAAGCTGGGAACTGCTTAGGGCCAACCTGCCTCCCATTCTATTCAAAGTCACCCCTCTGCCCACTGACATAAATATATATCTGAGTGCCTTCTTTGGAGAGGCTAATCAGAAACTCAAAAGAATGCAACCATTTGTCTCTTATCTACCTGTGACCTGGAAGCCACCTCCCCGTTTCAAGTTTTCCCGCCTTTGCTTCGAGTTGTCAGCCTTTCCAGATCAAACCAATGTTCATCTTGCATATGTTGATTCATGTTTCATGTCTCCCTAGAATGTATAAAACCAAACTGTGTTCTGACCACCTTGGGCACATGTTGTCAGGACTCCTGAGGCTGTGTCACGGGCACGCGTCCTCAACCTTGGCAAAATAAACTTTCTAAATTAACTGAGACCGGTCTCAGATTTTTCGGATTCACGACTAGAAAGTAATAACGCAACAATTGGACCAGTCACTTCAGCAGCAGGAAAGAGAACTATCCTTTCTCAGCAAAATGTGGATCAAGAATGTGATACAGAAGAAATTCATTGGTAGTAAAAATGTTGCAAAAACTATGTAGAGAATTAACTACCAATAATAAAAAAAGATATATATCATAACACCTTTCTTGATATTTACACCTACCTTGAGAGCAAGTATTAATTTCTGCACTTGAAAGGTGAGGAAAATAAGGCTCAAAGAAAATATTTGCTTTCCCCAAAGCCAGATACGTTAAAGTAACTCAGGGTTTAAAATGTATATCACTCATTTTCCCAAATCTTATCTTCTTTACTTTTTTTGCCTTGATTAGATTTAACATATTTTTTTAATAAATAAATTTTATTGTATATATTTGGGCTTTATAGCATAATGTTATGGGATACCTATAGATAGTAAAATGTTTATTATTGTGAAGCAAATTAACATAGCTGTCATGTTATAGTTATTTTTTGTGACAAGAGCAGCAAAATCTACTTATTTAACAAAAATCTCTAACATAATACAACTGTATTAACCATAGTTACAATGTTGTACATTAGATCTCTAGACGTATTTATGCTACATATCTACTATTTTGACCTCCATCTCCTCATTTTCCCACCCTTCCTCCCACCTTCCACTCCTGGTAACCATGGTTTTATTCTTTATCTCTGTATATCTGAATTTTTTTGTTTCCCAGATTCCACATATACATGAGATAATGCATTATCTTTGAGTTTCTGGCTTATTTCACTTATCATCTCCAAATTATCCATGTTGTGGCAAAAGGCAGTATCTCCTTCATTTTTAAGGCTGAATAATATTTATTGATTATATATAGCACACTTTCTTTATCCATTGGTCCATCTGTGAACATTTAGGTTGCTTCCATATCTTGGCTATCATGATTAATGCTGCAATGAACATAAAAGTGCAGGTATCTTTACCATAGAGATTTCGTTGCCTTTGCATATATAAGCATAAGAAGGATTGCTGTATCATATGGTAATTCTATTTTAAATTTCTTTAGGAATCTCCATAGTCTTTTTCATAAGGGCTGTACCAGTCTACCTTCCCACCAACAGCATATGAGGGTTCCCTTTTCTCCACAACCTCGCCAACATTTGTCTTCTCTTGTCTTTTTGGTAATAGCCATTCTAATGGTGTGAGGTAATAGCTTATATTGGTTTTAATTTCCATGTGCCTTACGATTCATGAGGTTAAATGCCTTCCATATACCTGCTGGCCATTTTTATGTCTTCTTTGCAGAAATGTCAGTTCATAACCTTCGTCCATTTTTTAACTAGGTTATTTGCTTTCCTGCTATTGAGTTTTAAGAGTTCTTTATAAATTTGTGGTATTAGCCTCTTACTATATATGTGGTTTGCAAATATTTTTTTTTAAGTCCATAGGATGCCTTTTCATTTTGTGGATGATTTTCTCTGCTGTGGAGAAGCTTTTTAGTTTTATGTAGTCCTATTAATTTAGTTTTGCTTTTGTAGTCTGAGTTTTTTGTGTGATATCCAAAAAATTATTACCAAGGCCAGCGTCAAAGAACCTTTCACCAATGTTCTCTTCTGGGAGTTTTATAATCACAGGTCTTTTTTTTTTTTTTTTTTGAGACGGAGTCTCGCTCTGTCGCCCAGGCTGGAGTGCAGTGGCGCGATCTCGGCTCACTGCAAGCTCCGCCTCCCAGGTTCACGCCATTCTCCTGCCTCAGCCTCCCGAGTAGCTGGGACTACAGGCGCCCGCTACCACGCCCGGCTAATTTTTTGTATTTTTAGTAGAGACGGGGTTTCACCGTGTTAGCCAGGATGGTCTCGATCTCCTGACCTCTTGATCCGCCCGCCTCGGCCTCCCAAAGTGCTGGGATTACAGGCGTGATATAATCACAGGTCTTAAATTTAGGTATTTTATCCATTAAATTCTATCTTCTTTATTTTACTGCTATTCTCTGTTAAAAAAAAAAAGAAGGAAGAAACAATTTCTGCACATAGAGTGCATGAAAGCCTGTCATCAACTGATTTTTATGCCATGCTCTTACTTATACAGCTAGAGTAAGTAAGACCATTTTGAATAAAGTATTTAAAAATGCATCATATTGTTTTATTTTAAGTGAAGTAATCTAGTGATTCAAACACAAGAGTTCAAAATAGCCATGTTGTTTGCATTTCCATGTCTGCAAAACAGCCATGATTTCAGGTAACATGCTTAGCTTTTTAATTTACTGAAGTGTTCAAATAAGAAAACAGTGTTAGATCACCTTATAGTGTATAAGTATATAAGCCAATTAGTGGTTTCAAAGCATGATTACTAAAATAAGAACATTTTATGAAGATGCTGTCAATTTTGTATACCACTAGATCAAAATCATCTCTCTATAAATTACTTTGTTTTAATCCTGTAATTTTTAAAAGTGCTTATTTGTGGTACTAATTTTTACTTTTTCATAGCTTTTCAAACTAGTAAATTATAATTAAAATACTATTCTCAGTTACCTGCTGTCAAGCTTTCTATGACCTTCCCTTTTTCTTTTATGATTAATGCCAAAACTTCTTAGCATGGTATATTAAATAACAATTTTTTCACACTATACTAATTCTTCAAACACATTTTATATTATCGCTCTATTTTACCATATACTGTAGACAAAATAATGATTGTTTGCTATACCCAGTATACCTTTTTCATTTGCAATATCACTATCTCTTTGTCTGTCTTAAATAGTTTTATTCACTCTTTAAGAAATAGTTGGAATACCAGCCTCTACATGACACCATTTTTAATTTAATCAAGGTATAAATAATTGCTTTTTACTTTTCTAAAAGAACACTTTACTTATAAAAATTATTTTACTTTTCTTTACTGTTCTCTGCCCATGCTGTTTGCTCCAGCTAGATTATAAGTTATTCTTCTTTGTGGACCATATCCTTATTTTGTTCCTAATGCAAAGCAAAGATTGTTCCAAACAGTAATATGTAATTATTAGTAGTATTTTAACTAACTTTTGGGAGAAATTGAGTGTAATGGCCTGACTATCTACAGAAATAAGATTGGGAGAATATATCAGAGAGTAATTCCATTTCAGGATAGTTATTGCTTTATTTCCCAAATCCTAGAGATGAAAATAATACAGTCTATAATTATTTAAAGTCTCTGTATATGCCACTTATTTTATATTTATTTGCTTTTCTTAAGTATCCTGAAAAGTGAATATTCTATAGCCCATTTACATGTGAAAAAAAAAGTGAGTTTCAGAAATTAGGTATTTTTTTTTTCCTAAATCACAAGACAGGGTAATGGAGGATTCAAGATAGAACAACCAGATAAAAATTAGCAAGAATATAGAAGAAATCAATAACACCATCCATCAATAGTATCTAATTGACATTTACAGAACACTACATGTTATAATAACAAAATATGTAATCTTTTAAAGCACTAATGAAACATATACCAAAACAGGTCATATTCTTGGCCATAAAACAAACTTCAACAAATTTGAAAATTATAGTCCTACAGAGCATGTTCTAACCACCATAAAATCAAACCAGTAATTGAAAAAAAAGGACAAATCTCTAAACACTTGAAAATAAACAATATGCTTTTTAAAAATTCTATGCATCAAAGAGGAATCCTCAAAGGAAATACATATATTTAAGTAAAATAAACTAAAAATACAACATATCCAAATTGATGAGACACAATTTAAGCAGTGCTGAGAGAAAAAATTGATAGTATTAAATGCTTACATTAGAAAATAGAAAATATCTCCGATAAATAATCTAAACTCCTATCTCAAGAACCTAGAAAAAGAAGAAGAGCAAAATAAGCCATGAGCAAGCAGAAGGAAGGAAATAATAAAAAAAGAACAGAAATAAATGAAACAAAAAACAGAAAAGTAATACATAAAATCAGTGAAACAAAAATCTGGATTTTTGAAAAGTTCAATAAAATTGACAATATCTAGCACCACTGATGAGGAATAAAATAAAAAGCTTACAAATTACTAATATCAGAGATAAACAGGGGATATAACTACAGACAATGCCAAAATCAAAAGACTGATAAGAGAAGGTAATGAACAACTACATTACAGTTCAAAGAACTGCAAGCCTCCCATACCTTATTTAAGAAAGAGGCTCGGCTGGGCGCAGTGGCTCATGCCTGTAATTCCAGCACTTTGGGAGGCCAAAAAGGGCAGATCACCTGAGGTCGGGAGTTCGAGACCAGCCTGACCAACATGGAGAAACCTCCATCTCTACTAAAAATACAAAATTAGTCAGGTGTGGTGGTGCATGCCTGTAATCCCAGCTACCCGGGAGGCTGAGGCAGGAGAATCGCTTGAACCCGGGAGGCGGAGGTTGCAGTGAGTGGAGATCAGGCCATTGCACTCCAGCCTGGGCAACAAGAGCAAAATTCCGTCTCAAAAAAAAAAAAAAAAAAAGAGTCTCTAAAAACCCAAAGACAACAGGGGAGACATAAACAAGAATGCCAGAGGGAATTTTAGCCTTGTATACTACAGTACAGTAAATATAACACCTCACATTCACAGGAATTCAAAACATATTTAAAAACCATTCCCTAATTACAGAACAGTATTTTATTATTCTCTTTAGAATCACAGAAG
Organism: Homo sapiens; assembly: GCF_000001405.40. Lineage (NCBI taxonomy): Eukaryota > Metazoa > Chordata > Mammalia > Primates > Hominidae > Homo > Homo sapiens. Next base: position 81,084,216 of record NC_000013.11, on the reverse strand, counting down.
ATGGATGTGGAGGGAAAAAAGCTCACTACCTAGGATAGAAAATGAGATGAGCTTCTACAAGAAGCTCTGTTTTCATTTCTCTCCCGTTATATTTTATTTATGAGGCATCATTAATACATATTAGAGGTCAGTTTTACACAAGATAATCTGAGGAAAAAAAAACAATTTCTTGAAGAAAAATGACCTCATTTGTTATCCAGTATTTTATTATTATTTTCTTGTCAGAGAACAAATTGAAATTTTTAGTGTATTTTCTCTTATATAGAAAGATATCATCTTCACTTTATGCCACATTTTGAAATATCATGGAGTTACTTCCTTGATTCAAATTTCTCCTGAGCATGTCAGGTTGCTCAATTTTACTTCAATGATTTCAATAATTTAATATTTACTGGTTTGGGAAATAATACTTTAATTTCAAACCAAAGGAAATGCAATACTGCACAACTTTCTAGGTTGTCAATACCAATCCAAAATGTTGCACTTAAATTATTTACTATGGAAATTGCTTTAACTCTTCCATGGCTTCTGGTACAGTTTTTAGGACTCTGTGTATAGCTCAAGTATTGAGTTCTTTGTAAAGTTCGTTCACTATCACGTAGCCAATGTAATGTCATCATTGGCTAGGAGTATACCTCTTCTCCAATATGATTTTATTCAGTTATTTGAAACACTTCTAACATTAAAAAACTAGGCTCACACCCCAATATATTCACACAAGAGACTCAGATTTCTCTGAGAAGCATCAGTAAACACGTATTCAATAACTTTAGTATTTATCACATTTAGGTGACATCTGTGTCTACTTGCACTTGATTTTGAGCTCCTTGAGGCTTGGTTCATATATTAGTCTCTACATTCTAAGTGCATAGTATAATACCTAACCTGTGCTGAGACTCAATGAACAACAAGCATGTGAAAAAATAACCAGTAAATAAATGAATCAATGTGGGATTAACATGACATCCATCTCATCTATTCAGCGAAAAATAATCACGCACTTTCCATATGGCAGGCAAAGGCTGATTATACAGGTGTTAAAAAAAACAGACACTTGATGCTGCATGTACTTTAATTGTATTTGCCTAAAAATGTTGTATCTACTATAATTTAAAGGTCAGCCAAGTAATTAAAATGATGCTATTAACTATGTTCTTAGAGTCGATTTTCCACTCTTGGGATTGCAGCAGAAGGCCCAAGGACATTTGTGTATATGGTCATGAAACATTCAATAGCAGAGTGGTTAATCTGTGAGTTGAGATCTGGACTCTGCCATGTATCACCTGTAGGGCCTGGGGCAAATCAGTTCACCTTTCTGTGTTTTGATTTCCTCTTTAAATACGGGGAATAATAATAATACCTATATGAGTGGTTGCCATCAAGCTTCAATAAGTGAATTTATGTGAATAACAATGGAACAACACCTGGCACATGGTAAGCTCTTGACAAATGTACTCATTATTATTTTTATAAGATTATTTGTCACTAAATGAAAGCATTCTAGTATCACTACATAACTGAAGTTTAATTTTATGGAGAAAAATGTAGTTTCCTCTTCCTATAAAATGTCTACCCTATTAGTGTGACCATCACTGGTATACATATCTTGCTCTCGTAAATTCCTGTTTCTTGAAAAAATGACTGCAAAGATATATCTGAAAAAATATTGTTGCTTATTTTGTTTTGGGCAGGGAGGGTCACTGGATTTTATTTATGCATATGTTTTTGGATTTGGTCCTAAGACAATCCTCAAGGGTAAAGAAATACCAAGGTAGTGAGGCTTTCATAAAAATGTACAGATGGAATTATTTTGCCTCTCCAAAATCCTAATTAATAAATTTAAATAAACTTTTTGCAGAAGAAGAATAAACCATTATAAAGAAGGGAAATGATTCCATGAGGTACTTAATGTAATAATGTATCTACTGTCCTCCACACCTCTTCACCAAATAAGTGTGTCAGTACAATTATTGCTCCATCCAAAGGCTTGTCTGACATCACCTTTTCAATTGAATCTTAACATTTGTGCACAGATACACTTGCGCACACACACAAACACACAAATGTAATCAACCTGCCTTCTGTATTACCTGTTTAGCCTGCAGAAGTTTTATATTATTAAGTGTGAGAAAATGTACCACTATAGTACTGTTATTCTCTGTCAAATATGTTGGTTTATGTACCATGCATCTTAGCACAAAAATTGTGCCCAGTAATGCTTTGTTGAGCCAAACCTAATTCAAAGTAAATAGAAAAGTTCTTATCATAGAGATAGAAGTTAGGTATGGCCTATTTTACGTATGGCTTCAGACATTAAAATTTCTTACTACCCACTCTTGAAACAGCTTTGGGTTTCACAAAACATTCACTTTAACTTGATTGTTAAAATTAATAATAGCATAATTCTAGTTCAGTCCTTTTAAAGCATAAAATTATCAGACATTCTATGACAATACAAAATGGAAAGAAATGGGAATAGACAGTCACAGGATTTTTATGAGTAATGCCATGTTTCTTTACATTATTTTTATTAAAAATAATAGGTGCAAACACCTGTGAGCTAACAATGATAATGTCTAGATGCCTACAAATGTTTCCCCTGAAGTGTCAATAAAATTTAATCACCAGATTATATTGGGGACCCACTACTGGTCAATTTACTAGTGTGCAAAGGGGACATATTATCACCAGGTGAGTTTTCTTAATTCTCAGGGATTCTAAATCAAATGTCAGCCTCTATGCCTCTTCCTTAAAACAATTTAATTGTTCTTGCATTTATAACTGTCATCTGAGGCATAGTAAAAGGAAATTTCAACAGAGAAGTGACAATTAGAATATAGCATGTCCTCAAGGATTTTATCCAGAGAGATTCCATTATGTAAATTGCTAGCTTTCTTGCCTCTGAATTCAATTCCAAGGCACAAGGACATTCAAAATTAAATCAAGTTGGAGTTATAAAGTGAACTTCCAATACAACTGGCAACTTAAGAGATTTTTTCCTTCTCTCTTTCCAAATTCCAAATCTTATTCTCTGTTGTTTTAAAACCTCTTGAGTTCAATATAATCATATATAATATGTGAGAATTGACATATACTGACCGCAGGCAGAAAAAAATGACTTTTCTACTCACTTTACATAAGATAATCTAATTATTTCTTGAAAAGAGCACATGTGATTGATGATACCTCTTAGGAAAATTTACTAATCTGGAGGAATGTATTTATGCTTTTATTCAAAGCAGCGTTTTATATTAAAACATTAAAGAAAATGACAGGTTTTTACACATTTTTTTCTAAAGATACTCTCAGATCTTTTCTCATCTGTTGTTTCAGGCTCTGCTTTTTAGAATCTCTTCTACAAAGATAGATGTATTGTCTTTGGCACCATCTCTCACTCATTATTTTTTACTTATGCCCCTTAGATTCTTGTATCAGAGTTGAAACCTGTAGTTTGCAACAGGGAAATTTTTTACATGTGGAACACAGAGGATTTGAAAATTTATTAAAACAAGAAGCAGGCAATTAATCCCTGAGAGGAATTTACATTTAACAAAATACATACTATTAAAAATAATCGCAAAAAAACGCGATTATTCTTGCAACAACCTAATACGAATAATAAATCCAGCTTACTTTAATATAAATTTGTGTACTTACATATCTGTTTATATTTAAGGTGGCCTCTAGATAGAAGTGGGTGATATCCTGAAGCCAGTTCATACAGCCTCACAGGAGCAAATTTTATGCATCTCTTCCTAACTCCACATTCAGCAATGATACGTTTGTTGCTTGAAATTGCCCACGGTTTGAGTATTTATACCACAGAAAGCTGCAAACAGCTTAAAATCGGCTTCAGAGAACAGTTGTTGAACATTTACCAGCACAGCATTAGTGAAACTATGGGTCAAAACTAACAGCCTTATAAACATAATTTTGAAGTTTAATTCTACAGATACCCAAGCCTAACTTTTGAAGGAAAATAGAAGTTAGTGATAAAGACGTGTAACCAATTGTAGTTAATTCTTATAATTTTCCCACCTCAGCATCCATTTTGAAAACAAGTTTAACTTTCTCCTAGGCAGGGCTTGGTCACCATCGACAAAGTTTCCAGTTCTGCACCACACGCAAATGGCCTAAGCCTGGTAGCCAGAGATAAGAACTTAGAGGCATCTCTTCTGCCCAGTCCACTGGGCTTCTGCTTTCCTGCCAACTCCTTTAAAGGAATCATTTAGGCATTTGCACAAAGTGACCCAAACCCTATTCCCGCATATATACTAGACTGCTATTTCTCACTCTCTCTGTATGCTCCTGATGGCTCTTCCTGACCCAGACAGATGAAAGAAGGCCCTCCTTACTGATTGTACTCTCTTTACTCAGGATCTGTAAGCACAAAGTCTTTGAGCTTGTTTTCTATTGTGGTGGTGTTTTTAATTTGTGCCTTCTATCTGAAGAACTGTGGGCTTCCCCAGGATGCTGAGGAGAACACAAAGGCAGGCTCCCAGAGCCAGAGTGATGGTCAGGCAGGCATAAACAGCACATGAGTCCAGGTAAGAGTCACAAGGACACCTTCCGGTATAAACAAGTTTCCCACGTGAGGGACCCGCCCCCCCAACCCCCGATCACAGGTCCAACAAATAGGCATTAGCCCATTCACCAGGTTAAAAATGTAGCCCAAGGAAGGTCCACTAAACGCTAATGTTCTGCTCCTATATTTTCCTTAGGGCAGGGTTGCTAGCTAATCTGGTATTGGAACCCCAGTTTAACTGGGGGTTCCCAAAATTACTATTTTATTCTATCCACATTTTAAAGATGGAGGTTAGATGTTGTTTTCCTATTACTGGAATATAGACTATAACTACACTAAACTAGAATATTTAATTATTTACAGATATTTTAAGAAGTCAATTTGGCTTACATACATACAACTGGTTTCATTCTGCCTTCTGTCACACATGCAAATAAAGGTAGTATTTATTTGTATGTATGAGTAGCTCTGATCTGCCAGAAAATATGCAAAACATTCCATATGTGTGTGTGTGTGTGTGTGTGTGTGTGTGTGTGTATGAATTATCTAAATCCTCAAAATAGTTGTCTGATATTGGAAAAAATATGGTAATGACAGTGTATTGTTAATACTATTCCTTTAATGTATTTGAGTAACTGCACTGTTTATTGTGAATCATTGTGTTTAAATTCAATTATTAGAAATGTATCTGAAACAGTAATTTTTAAAAAGGATTATTTTAAATATATGTACATTAGTGTGAGGATTTTGTTTTGTTCACTACTACGTCTGTATCCTAGAATAAAGAAAGTCAGATAATAGAAAATGAATATTCTTAAATAATCTGAATTTAAAATAAAAATCATACTCTCCATTTGAATGTTCATGTGAAGTTTTTTTATGTGTATCTCTATTTCTTATCTAAATGCTCTCAATATTCCTATGAATTATGCAATATCAGGTTCATTTTATAGATGCAAAAACAAATTACTTTTCTTGCTGCATCTTTGTACAGCTTCTTTTATCTCACTAATATTTATTCACTAACAACTGCTAACTAGAAGATGAGGTCTCTAGCTTCACTACAGTTTTCTTAGGATCAAATCAAAAAGTCCAGAATTTATAATTTCTATATTAAAAACTGTAGAGCTTCAAATAATTTTCTTTCACCACAAATCAGTCATAGTATCTTGCACAGGACAAATACAGGCTTGTTCATCTTTAATCTAACCTCATTAGCGAAAACTCTGACAATGCTCACTAAAATATGTTATGGAAATTTGAAATCTGAAAAAAGAAGATATACTGATCACATTTATCTAGAGAAACAGAACCAATAGGATGTGTATGTGTGTATGTGTCTGTATGTGTGTGTATGAAGATTTATTATAAGGACTTGTCTTAGGAAATTATGGAGGCTAGTGAGTCAAAAATCTGCAGTGTGCAGCATGGGCTGGCAGGCCCAAGATCCAGGATAGTTAATGGTGCAGTTCAGGCCTGAACATGCTGGCAAGCTGGAGAGCCAGAAGAGCCAATGGTGCTGTTCAGTTGGAAGGCAGTTGATATGGTTTGCATTTGTGTCCCCACCCAAATCTCATGTTGAATTGTAATCCCCAGTGTTGGAGGAGGGCCTGGTGGGAGGTGATTGGATCTTGGGGGTGGACTTCCCCCTTGCTGTTCTTGTGATAGTGAGTGAGTTCTAATCTGATCTGGTTGTTTAAAAGTGTGTAGCACTTCCCCCTTCGCTCTCTCTTCTTCCTGCTCCAGCCATGTAAGACATGCCAGCTTCCACTTCGCCTTCTGCCATGATTGTTAAGTTTCCTGAGGCCTCCTCAGATGCATATGGCCCATATGGCCTGCGGAACTGTGAGTCAATTAAACCTCTTTTTCTTTATAAATTTCCTAGTCTCAGGTAATCCTTTATAGTAGTGTGAGAAGGGACTAGTACAGCACTCTTCTAGACAATTTCCTCTTGCTTAGGGAAACTAGTCTTTTTGTTCTAATCTGGTCTTCATTTGATTGAAAGGCTCACCGAGATTGTGGAGAGCAATCTGCTTTACTCAGAATTCACCAAATGAAGTGTTAGCTTTATGCCCAAACACGCTCCATGTTGATACGTAAAATTAACTGTCACCGAAGACAAAATATAATATCACAGGTGAATTGAGAAGGCTACATGTAGATAATTATAGTTGGTCTTTATATTTTTCTCAAAGAGTCGTTTGGAGGTAATACAAACAAAAACAGTCATACTTTGGATAATGCCTACATTTAGAGGTATAAGGAGAGAACATATCAAAGGAGGAAAATGTATAATAGTGTTAGGAAATCTACAGTTGTTAACATCAATCACTGTTCTCTTTTTTCTTTTTTTTTTTAATTGTAAAAAATTTAAGTTTATTTTAATTTTTTTTTCTTTTATTATTATACTTTAAGTTTTAGGGTACATCTGCACATTGTGCAGGCTAGTTACATATGTATGCATGTGCCACGCTGGTGTGCTGCACCCACTAATTCGTCATCTAGCATTAGGTATATCTCCCAATGGTATCCCTCCCCCCCTCCCCCCACCCCACAACAGTCCCCAGAGTGTGATGTTCCCCTTCCTGTGTCCATGTGTTCTCATTGTTCAATTCCCACCTATGAGTGAGAATATGCGGTGTTTGGTTTTTTGTTCGTGTGATAGTTTACTGAGAATGATGATTTCCAATTTCATCCATGTCCCTACAAAGGACATAAACTCATCCTTTTTTATGGCTGCATAGTATTCCATGGTGTATATGTGCCACATTTTCTTAATCCAGTCTATCATTGTTGGACATTTGGCTTGGTTCCAAGTCTTTGCTATTGTCAATAGTGCCGCAATAAACATACGTGTGCATGTGTCTTTATAGCAGCATGATTTATAGTCCTTTGGGTATATACCCAGTAATGGGATGGCTGGGTCAAACGGTATTTCTAGTTCTAGATGCCTGAGGAATCGCCACACTGACTTCCACAATGGTTGAACTAGTTTACAGTCCCACCAACAGTGTAAAAGTGTTCCTATTTCTCCACATCCTCTCCAGCACCTGTTGTTTCCTGACTTGTTAATGATTGCCATTCTAACTGGTGTGAGATGGTATCTCATTGTGGTTTTGATTTGCATTTCTCTGATGGCCAGTGATGATGAGCATTTTTTCATGTGTTTTTTGGCTGCATAAATGTCTTCTTTTGAGAAGTGTCTGTTCATGTCCTTCGCCCACTTTTTGATGGGGTTGTTTGTTTTTTTCTTGTAAATTTGTTTGAGTTCATTGTAGATTCTGGATATTAGCCCTTTGTCAGATGAGTAGGTTGCAAAAATTTTCTCCCATTTTGTAGGTTGCCTGTTCATTCTGATGGTAGTTTCTTTTGCTGTACAGAAGCTCTTTACACCTTATACAAAAATCAATTCAAGATGGATTAAAGACTTAAACGTCAGACCTAAAACCATAAAAACCCTAGAAGAAAACCTAGGCAATACCATTCAGGACATAGGCATGGGCAAGGACTTCATGTCTAAAACACCAAAAGCAATGGCAACAAAAGACAAAATTGACAAATGGGATCTCTTTTTTCTTTAACATTGCAGCTTGATAATATTTTGTCAGTTGCTCCAAAATTAGTTAGCTGGTGTACATGAGAAGTGAGAATACAGTGACTCCCCTTTCCCTACTCTTCCACTGAGAGGGTGCTATCTCTTGCCACTTAGCAAATAGCAACCAGAATGATACCTTGCATATGAGGAGATATCTACAAGTCATTAAAATGTTCCATGCATATGGTATAATTTCTTTAAAACATTTACCATTTTACAGATCATTTTTGCATTTCCTGAATTTTTTTTCTGCATTCTTATATATCACAATAATATTTCTCCAAATTTGCTTCTGGATTCTGAACATCTACCCTCCATGATGCCATTTTCTTTATTTAGTTAATTGTCAGAGCCTATGTTACTCCAGTTAGCGTATGTTTTACATGAGTTGCCTGTTTATCCCTTTAAAGGAACTGTCTGTTTCAAACCTTGATTAGTAGCATTTGGAATCTTAACCTAAACCTTAAGAGTATCCATCATTGGTTTTATTTTTTAAAATTATTAAATATACATAATTTATTGTACTGGGAACAAAGCAAAACACTAGACACCATTTTGATTGAAAATTACACACACCTATGTTTAAATAAAGTCTCTATGTATGTGTGAATTTTAATAAACAGTCTCATTTTCTCTACCCAATCAGTAAATAACAAAGTAGTGGGAAAAGAGGAGATGTGGAAATGGCATGTAACCTAGGGTCCCAGGGTTTTGGGATACGCGCTGTGAAAAAGTTATCCAATTTAACTGTTGCACACTGAGTTCTTGTTTCAAAAAGTTCCAGGAAGAATATTCAGCCCTGGAAAAAAAAATAAAAAAACTAATTGAAGCCCTAGATGTCTGAGTTGGAGATAAATTTTGGCAAAATCTCCTCATAATCACACTAAAATGTCCACCCAGGGAGGAACTTATTGCTATTTTCTATACACACAGTGTAAGTAGTAACATGACTGATGACTGCACCTCTGTAGCCTTTACTCCATCTCCACATACAATAACTCAGCTAACCAATAAAAGCCCTGTTTCTACTTTTGTTGCCTGGGGAGGCACTGTTTGGGAACTATCCTCAGTGCCCTCTTTACTTGTTGCAAGTAATACAATCCCCTTGTTAAATCCTCCTTGTTTGTGGCCACCTGTAAGTGGTTGGTCCCACCATTGTGTGAGTAACAGGAACACATGTGTTTGTGTGTATGTATGTGGATATTACACCAGCTTTATAGTGTGGGGCTGAAGAATAGAGTTGTATATACAACATTGTTATAGGACCTGGCGGAGTGAACATTTTGGGAGACACAGTATTCCATGGAACACATGTACTCCTCCATGTCTTGTTGGGTATGCCAACAAGCAAGTCCTTGACCATTTATTCTCTGGCATTCTCTCAGAGTTGTGTTTACATTTGTCAACCTACATGCAGGACAAAGAGCAGGCTTACTAACTGCTTGCTATAAAATGGCAGATTACTGAAGTTCAGTGCTTCTGTTCTAGAACATAAACCATTGCCTGTGCAGGCATCTATCTATCCGGTCACAAATTATGCCACCCTTATGTGGCTTTCGGCACAGGGTGCTGATACACAAACGGATGCTCCTATGCTCCTGCTACTTGCTTTATCATAAGTAATAAAATGCTTTGTCTCTGTCCCAAAAGCCTCAAGTCTTCTGCTAGCATCCATAAAATACTGAGAGGTTAATTGATTAATATTTATATAGAGTAAAATAAAATTCCTCAATAAATTTTAGGAGAAAACAATGACTGAAGTTGAAACACCAACCTTACATTAAAAAATAAAATTCAACATTAATCAAGTCCCTTGACGTTGGTGCTAGATAAATCAACCACCATTGAAAGGCATTACAGAAGTTCTCATTATGAAATTTAAAAAATATATTTATAAATGTTTGCTTCTTTATACTTTATCTTTTAATGGTCCAATTATTTTATGCAACTTACTATAAGCTTAAGTATACACTAAGAATTTGTGTCTATTTTCTCCATCTTTATAATGTTTAATATTACTGGATTTCTCCCTCAGTATCAGTTTTATTACTTTATTGAATATATTCATTTTCTCCCTTAGAGTTAGTATGTCTTCAGGTAGTGTTTTAGAAAATCCTGGTTTTTTTTAAAAAAAAAATTTTAGTTCTGGGATCTGTAACAGACACTGAATTAGTATGTCAAGACAATGACCTGGAAATCTGTATTTTAGTGATGATCAACATGTTTTTTATGATCAATTTGGGGAATACTGTCTCAACATAAGAAGTGCTTGAGTTTTTAAGTAAACTTTTTATGTAACCCAATGAAAAGTTATAAACATAAAAACTTTAGCTTTTGATTCCGGTGTCCAATGTTAACTCCAAGGCTGGAGTGCTTAGGAAGTAAACATTCATTTAAACATTCATTTAGGAAGTATTCCTTTAAGAAATATTTCAGGCTGGGCGCGGTGGCTCATGCCTGGAATCTCAACACTTTGGCAGGCCAAGGAGGGCGGATCAAGTGGTCAGGAGTTTCAGACCAGACTGGCCAATATGGTTAAACCCTATCTCTACTAAAAATACAAAAGATAGCCAGGCATGGTGGCAGGCACCTGTAGTCCCAGTTATTCAGGATGCCCAGGCAGGAGAATCACTTGAATCCAGGAGGCAGAGGTTGCAAGGAGCCAATATCGCACCACTGCACTCCAGCCTGGGCGACAGAGTGAGACTACATTGCAAAAAAAAAAAAAAAAAAAAAAACAACAAAAAACAAAACACCAGAAGTATTTCACTTAAGAAGTATTCATTTAAGAAGTATTCATTTAAGAAGTATTGAGTAAAAATTCATTTAAGAAATATGTCTTAGGTATTTCGTGAATACATCCTAGGCAAGGGGTTTGTGGTAAGCATGCTGAAGATTTTTCTCGTTTCTCTCAATAAGTTAAATGGATTTCAGATTGAAAAGGATTTATTTAGGGTGATTGAATATTTCATGGAAGAATTCGATTTTATAAAGATCTAGAATGCTTTAAATTTTATAAGTCCTCAGAAATGAATGCTTTGTAATAGTATTCATTATTTTTGTTATGTCTTATTAACCTTGATGTGTTTAGGGACATTATTGTGCTATTTTTAAGAGCAGGTGCTTTGGAGTAGCACCCTTAGGTTCTAAGCATTGTCCCAGGCACTTGACATGCAGCAGTAAATATGACAAACACTGCCATGGGCCTCAAAACTATTTTCCAACCATTACAGGTCACAATAGTCCTGGCCTTCTCTGTGTCCCACAGAACTAAATCTCTCTATTATATATTTTAGCACCAAAACATACTTCGGGGGTGTTTCCTCTTCTCTGAATGTGCCTAACCAAAATGCACAATTGAATATACCCTAAACACACGGTATATTCAATAAAAATTGACTAGTTGAATTGAATTAGGCATGAGGTGCATTTTCAGTGAAAGGCTCCAATAAAGAGCAGCACTTACTATTTTCTGCCAGAAATAATCTGTGTCACTGGTTGAAAGAAAAGACAAAGTGGTGTATTTTCAGCTCTGATCATATATTTATAAGTTAGCGGCAGCAATATTCTGTATGTAGTTTTTCCATATTTATTTCTCAGAATCATAAAAATAGGATATATTAATGCTGGACATTTCTCAGAGTTTGGCTATAGTTTTCTAAAGATGTTTTTAGAGGAGTATATGTTTTCTTGCTGTAACTCCTGTTTTGTGTTGCACTCACACTATTGCAACAATACTTGCCTCTTTTTTCACATTAGTCAAGTTTAAAACTATTCACAGTTTTGGTACATGCAGTGTGTGTGTGTGCGTGTGTCTGTCTCTGTGGATTATGACAATATTGCATGCATGTCTTAACATTTTTATATTAGTATTCTATTTAACAACATATAAAATTTTCTATGTCAATGAGTATTAATAAACATGATTTTTAAATGATTCTATAATATTTCATCATACAAACTCACTATATAAACAGGCTCCAAGTGTTTCAAATTTAAGTTACCAATTTTGTCATCATAATAAAAGTGACCACTGAGGTAATGAATATTTGTGTTTCATTTCACTTCTTTCTCTTCTTGTACATTTCTTTGTTTTTATCTCATATATGTAACAGCAATAAAGAAATACAAATTCATAACCCATGTTTGAGTAATGGATATGCTATTTGCAGGTGATGAAAAGTCACATTGTTCTTCACTCTATTCTTCCAATTTCTGGATCAAAGACCACAATTCATAGTGGAAGAGATTTTGGCATCCAGATGGGATGGCAACCAGGCCACAGGAAATGTTTTCTGACAACTTATAGAGATTCACTTTTTGGAAATACGCCATGACCATTGCCTAGGGACCTGAAAACATGAGATGGTATTCTCAAGGTAAAAGCAACTGAACTCAAAATGTTGCTTTTCACATAAGAGAGAAAATGAAAATCAATTTCAGCTCTCTGTATCAAAAGAGAGCAAAGAAATAACCATGCATGCTTCCGAAAATTTTATCTTCTTGTAAGGATTAAAGTAAACAAAAAGTATCTTCGAGGGTAACAATTAGTCTATATTTATTTTGAGGCTCTAAAATCAATTATTAACAAAGACTAGAAATAAAGAATTATATTGCTTCTAAGTGTAGATGAATCATACTTTATAAATACAGTAAGAATATTGAAGTTATCGGTACACTAAGAAAGTAATCAAATTAAATGTAACTGTGAATATTAATGTGTGTGTTTGTATATGAATTAAACAGCATTTAAACTTTCACCAAAGAAAGATGATAGATAGATAGATAGATAGATAGACAGATAGATAGATAGATAGATCGATCCTCAAAGGGAATTTTACAAATATTTGTGTAGCTTAATTATAAGTAAGTAAAAATAATTGAATCATAGAGTACATTGAATTTTAAAGCTGTGAAAATTTTTAAGAATAAAATAATTTAACTCCTTTGCTTCATCGGTATGGAAACTGAATTTTAAAAAATAAAAATCAATTTAGCTGATGCCTAAACAATTTAAAAAGAGTAAAAACTTACTTTGCTTAAATGAACGACAATTAAAATAACTTTTGAGACATTTATTGATTGAAAGCTGAATGAGAATCATTGGCAATGTAGACATTATTAAAATCACAGGTCAGGAAGAGTACTGCTTTTCTTTTAGGCCTATCTGGAGAATGCATCTAGCAAGTAAATGTATGTAAGTCATAAGAGTTTACCTGCATTTCTAATATGATACAGTTAAGTGAAATGTGACGATTTCAGAGGGCAGCCATAAATGTCATCATGAGTTAGAATACAGATTAGGAACAATTTAAACAGTTAGAAAAGCTAATGCAAAGGTCATGCTACTCACAAACCATGAGGACTTCAATTTTCCTGACATTTCCTCTAAGGATGTGAAGTTCACAATCTCCAAAGGACCATTTAAGTTCTATCTCATAAAACTGGAAGGCTTTCTTTTTTCACAGTCAATGACCAACTAATAAGGCAAGTGATTAGAGAGAAAGCAGTCCTAAGAAACAGAGCAAACATAATAAAATTACTTGGCATTCTTAATTTGGAAAGTCTACTAATTTAATCAGATCCAGCTAGCTTGATGAATAAAAATATTGGAGCCTGAAGGAGATATACTGAATATCAGAAGATTAGATTAATTAAATATAATGAATAATAGAAAGCAAATTAAAACATCAGGCTGAAGCTACAGGGGGCAAATTCCAGTTATTTATTTATTGTCTTGATCAAGTTATTTAATTTTTCTGAGTTAAAATTTTCCTATTTTGCAAACTGAAATAAATATATATTTAGTTCAAGATTCTTGGGGCATTAAAGTAACAGCATATATAAAAGTTCTTATAGGGGAGAGAGCCAAGATGGCCGAATAGGAACAGCTCCGGTCTACAGCTCCCAGCATGAGTGACGGAGAAGACGGGTGATTTCTGCATTTCCATCTGAGGTACTGGGTTCATCTCACTAGGGAGTGCCAGACAGTGGGTGCAGGACAGTGGGTGCAGTGCACCGTGCGTGAGCCGAAGCAGGGCGAGGCATTGCCTCACTCGAGAAGCACAAGGGGTCAGGGAGTTCCCTTTCCTAGTCAAAGGGGTGACAGACAGCACCCGGAAAATCGGGTCACTCCCACCCTAATACTGCGCTTTTCCGACGGGCTTAAAAAACAGCCCACCAGGAGATTATATCCCGCACGTGGCTCAGAGGGTCCTACACCCACGGAATCTCGCTGATGGCTAGCACAGCAGTCTGAGATCAAACTGCAAGGGGGCAGCAAGGCTGGGGGAGGGGCGCCCACCATTGTCCAGGCTTGCTTAGGTAAACAAAGCAGCCAGGAAGCTCCAACTGGGTGGAGCCCACCACAGCTCAAGGAGGCCTGCCTGCCTCTGTAGGCTCCACCTCTGGGGACAGGGCACAGACAAACAAAAAGACAGCAGTAACCTCTGCAGACTTAAATGTCCCTGTCTGACAGCTTTGAAGAGAGCAGTGGTTCTCCCAGCACGCAGCTGGAGATCTGAGAACGGGCAGACTGCCTCCTCAAGTGGGTCCCTGACCCCTGAGCACAGAGCAGCCTAACTGGGAGGCACCCCCCAGTAGGGGCAGACTGACACCTCACACGGCCGGGTACTCCTCTGAGACAAAACTTCCAGGGGAACGATCAGACAGCAGCATTCGTGGTTCACGAAAATCCACTGTTCTGCAGCCACCGCTGCTGATACCCAGACAAACAGGGTCTGGAGTGGACCTCTAGCAAACTCCAACAGACCTGCAGCTGAGGGTCCTTTCTGTTAGAAGGAAAACTAACAAACAGAAAGGACATCCACACCAAAAACCCATCTGTACATCACCATCATCAGAGACCAAAGGTAGATAAAACCACAAAGATGGGGAAAAAACAGCAGAAAAACTGGACACTCTAAAAAGCAGAGTGCCTCTCCTCCTCCAAAGGAACACATTTCCTCACCAGCAACAGAACAAAGCTGGACGGAGAATGACTTTGACGAGCTGAGAGAAGGCTTCAGACGATCAAACTACTCCGAGCTACAGGAGGAAATTCAAACCAAAGGAAAAGAAGTTAAAAACTTTGAAAAAAATTTAGACGAATGTATAACTAGAATAACCAATACAGAGAAGTGCTTAAAGGAGCTGATGGAGCTGAAAGCCAAGGCTCCAGAACTACGTGAAGAATGCAGAAGCCTCAGGAGCCGATGCGATCAACTGGAAGAAAGGGTATCGGTGATGGAAGATGAAATGAATGAAATGAAGTGAGAAGAGAAGTTTAGAGAAAAAAGAATAAAAAGAAATGAGCAAAACCTCCAAGAAATATGGACTATGTGAAAAGACCAAATTTACGTCTGATCGGTGTACCTGAAAGTGACAGGGAGAATGGAACCAAGTTGGAAAACACACTGCAGGATATTATCCAGGAGAACTTCCCCAATCTAGCAAGGCAGACCAAAATTCAGATTCAGGATATACAGAGAAAGCCACAAAGATACTCCTCGAGAAGAGCAACTCCAAGACACATAATTGTCAGATTCACCAAAGTTGAAATGAAGGAAAAAACGTTAAGGGCAGCCAGAGAGAAAGGTCGGGTTACCCACAAAGGGAAGCCTATCATACTAACAGCGGATCTCTTGGCAGAACTCTACAAGCCAGAAGAGAGTGGCGGCCAATATTCAACATTATTAAAGAAAAGAATTTTCAACCCAGAATTGCATATCCAGCCAAACTAAGCTTCATAAGTGAAGGAGAAATAAAATACTTTACAGACAAGCAAATGCTGAGAGATTTTGTCACCACCAGGCCAGCCCTACAAGAGCTCCTGAAGGAAGCACTAAATATGGAAAGGAACAACTGGTACCAGCCACTGCAAAATCATGCCAAATTGTAAAGACCATTGAGGCTAGGAAGAAACTGCATCAACTAATGAGCAAAATAACCAGCTAACATCATAATGACAGGATCAAATTCACACATAACAATATTAAATTTAAATGTAAATGGACTAAATGCTCCAATTAAAAGACACAGACTGGCAAATTGGATAAAGAGTCAAGACCCATCAGTGTGCTGTATTCAGGAAACCCATCTCACGTGCAGAGACACACATAGGCTCAAAATAAAAGGATGGAGGAAGATCTACCAAGCAAATGGAAAACAAAAAAAGGCAGGGGTTGCAATCCTAGTCTCTGATAAAACAGACTTTAAACCAACAAAGATCAAAAGAGACAAAGAAGGCCATTACATAATGGTAAAGGGATCAATTCAACAAGAAGAGCTAACTATCCTAAATATATATGCACCCAATACAGGAGCACCCAGATTCATAAAGCAAGTCCTGAGTGACCTACAAAGAGACTTAGACCCCCACACATTAATAATGGGAGAATTTAACACCCCACTGTCAACATTAGACAGATCAACGAGACAGAAAGTTAACAAGGATACCCAGGAATTGAACTCAGCTCTGCACCAAGCGGACCTAATAGACATCTACAGAACTCTCCACCCCAAATCAACAGAATATACATTTTTTTCAGCACCAGAACCCACCTATTCCAAAATTGACCACATAGTTGGAAGTAAAGCTCTCCTTAGCAAATGTAAAAGAACAGAAATTATAACAAACTGTCTCTCAGACCACAGTGCAATCAAACTAGAACGCAGGATTAAGAAACTCACTCAAAACCGCTCAACTACATGGAAACTGAACAACCTGCTCCTGAATGACTACTGGGTACATAACGAAATGAAGGCAGAAATAAAGATGTTCTTTGAAACCAACGAGAACAAAGACACAACATACCAGAATCTCTGGGACACATTCAAAGCAGTGTGTAGAGGGAAATTTATAGCACTAAATGCCCACAAGAGAAAGCAGGAAAGATCCAAAATTGACACCCTAACATCACAATTAAAGGAACTACAAAAGCAAGAGCAAACACATTCAAAAGCTAGCAGAAGGCAAAAAATAACTAAAATCAGAGCAGAACTGAAGGAAATAGAGACACAAAAAACCCTTCAAAAAATCAATGAATCCAGGAGCTGGTTTTTGAAAAGATCAACAAAATTGATAGACTGCTAGCAAGACTAATAAAGAAGAAAATAAAGAAGAATCAAATAGACACAATAAAAAATGATAAAGGGGATATCACCACTGATCCCACAGAAATACAAACTACCATCAGAGAATACTACAGACACCTCTATGCAAATAAACTAGAAAATATAGAAGAAATGGATAAATTCCTCAACACATACACCCTCCCAAGACTAAACCAGGAAGAAGTTGAATCTCTGAATAGACCAATAATAGGCTCTGAAATTGTGGCAATAATCAATAGCTTACCAACCAAAAAGAGTCCAGGACCAGATGGACTCACAGCCGAATTCTACCAGAGGTACAAGGAGGAAATGGTACCATTCCTTCTGAAACTATTCCAATCAATAGAAAAAGAGGGAATCCTCCCTAACTCATTTTAAGGCCAGCATCATCCTGATACCAAAGCCGGGCAGAGATACAACCAAAAAAGAGAATTTTAGACCAATATCCTTGATGAACATTGATGCAAAAATCCTCAATAAAATACTGGCAAACTGAATCCAGCAGCACATCAAAAAGCTTATCCACCATGATCAAGTGGGCTTCATCCCTGGGATGCAAGGCTGGTTCAATATACGCAAATCAATAAATGTAATCTAGCATATAAACAGAACCAAAGACAAAAACCACATGATTATCTCAATAGATGCAGAAAAGGCCTTTGACAAAATTCAACAACACTTCATGCTAAAAACTCTCAATAAATTAGGTATTGATGGGACGTATCTCAAAATAATAAGAGCTATCTATGACAAACCCACAGCCAATATCATCCTGAATGGGCAAAAACTGGAAGCATTCCCTTTGAAAACGGGCACAAGACAGGGATGCCCTCTCCCACCACTCCTATTCAACATAGTGTTGGAAGTTCTGGCCAGGGCAATTAGGCAGGAGAAGGAAATAAAGGGTATTCAATTAGGAAAAGAGGAAGTCAAATTGTCCCTGTTTGCAGATGACATGATTGTATATCTAGAAAACCCCGTTGTCTCAGCCCAAAATCTCCTTAAGCTGATAAGCAACTTCAGCAAAGTCTCAGGATACAAAATCAATGTACAAAAATCACAAGTATTCTTATACACCAATAACAGACAAACCGAGAACCAAATCATGAGTGAACTCCCATTCACAATTGCTTCAAAGAGAATAAAATACCTAGGAATCCAACTTACAAGGGATGTGAAGGACCTCTTCAAGGAGAACTACAAATGACTGCTCAATGAAATAAAAGAGGATACAAAGAAATGGAAGAACATTCCATGTTCATGGGTAGGAAGAATCAATATCGTGAAAATGGCCATATGGCCCAAGGTAATTTATAGATTCAATGCCACCCCCATCAAGCTACCAATGACTTTCTTCACAGAATTGGAAAAAACTACTTTAAAGTTCATATGGAACCAAAAAACAGCCCGCATCGCCAAGTCAATGCTAAGCCAAAAGAACAAAGCTGGAGGCATCACGCTACCTGACTTCAAACTATACTACAAGGCTACAGTAACCAAAACAGTATGGTACTGGTACCAAAACAGAGATATAGATCAATGGAACAGAACAGAGCCCTCAGAAATAAGGTCGCATATCTACAACTATCTGATCTTTGACAAACCTGAGAAAAACAAGCAATGGGGAAAGGATTCCCTATTTAATAAATGGTGCTGGGAAAACTGGCTAGTCATGTGTAGAAAGCTGAAACTGGATCCCTTCCTTACACCTTATACAAAAATTAATTCAAGATGGATTAAAGACTTAAATGTTAGACCTAAAACCATAAAAACCCTAGAAGAAAACCTAGGTATCACCATTCAGGACATAGGCATGGGCAAGGACTTCATGTCTAAAACACCAAAAGCAATGGGAACAACAGCCAAAATTAACAAATGGGATCTAATTAAACTAAAGAGCTTCTGCACAGCAAAAGAAACTACCATCAGAGTGAACAGGCAACCTACAAAATGGGAGAAAATTTTCACAACTGACTCATCTGACAAAGGGCTAATATCCAGAATCTACAATGAACTCAAACAAATTTACAAGAAAAAAACAAACAACTCCATCAAAAAGTGGGTGAAGGACATGAACAGACACTTCTCAAAAGAAAACGTTTATGCAGCCAACAGACACATGAAAAAATGCTCACCATCACTGGCCATCAGAGAAATGTAAATCAAAACCACAATGAGATACCATCTCACACCAGTTAGAATGGCAATCATTAACAAGTCAGGAAACAACAGGTGCTGGAGAGGATGTGGAGAAATAGGAACACTTTTACACTGTTGGAGGGACTGTAAACTAGTTCAACCATTGTGGAAGTCAGTGTGGCGATTCCTCAGGCATCTAGAACTAGAAATACCATTTGACCCAGCCATCCCATTACTGGGTATATACCCAAAGGACTATAAATCATGCTGCTATAAAGACACATGCACATGTATGTTTATTGCGGCACTATTGACAATAGCAAAGACTTGGAACCAAGCCAAATGTCCAACAATGATAGACTGGATTAAGAAAATGTGGCACATATACACCATGGAATACTATGCAGCCATAAAAAAGGATGAGTTTATGTCCTTTGTAGGGACATGGATGAAATTGGAAATCATCATTCTCAGTAAACTATCGCAAGGACAAAAAACCAAACACCGCATGTTCTCACTCATAGGTGGGAATTGAACAATGAGAACACATGGACACAGGAAGGAGAACATCACACTCTGGGGACTGTTGTGGGGTGGGGGGAGGGGGGAGGGATAGCATTAGGAGATACACCTAATGCTAAATGACGAGTTAATGGGTGCAGCACGCCAGCCTGGCACATGTATACATATGTAACTAACCTGTACAATGTGCACATGTACCCTAAAACCTAAAGTATAATAATAATAAAATTAAAAAGAAAATTCTTATATAGTTAATACACACTTATACATTTTAAAAGCATAGCCTAAAATATAGGAAATATAGGTTGTATAATATTGCATGTGATTTGGATAAATAATTGAAAAATAAATACATAATGGAAACAAAATAAATATATCACTTTCATGCTTACATATGTGTGGAGACCAGATTGGTAGGGGAGACCCTAACCCAGTGGCACTAGAGGAATTACAAGACACACACAGATATATAGAGGTGTGGAGTGGGAAATCAGGGGTCTCACAGCCTTCAGAGCTGACAGCCTCGAACAGACATTTACCCACATATTTATTGACAGCAAGCCAGTGATAAGCATTGTTTCTATAGATTATAGCTGAACTAAAAGTATTCTTTATGGGAAATAAAGGGATGGGCCGAAATAAAGGGATGGGTTGGGCTAGTTATCTACAGCAGGAGTATGTCCTTAAGGCACAGATCACTCATGCTATTGTTTGTGGTTTAAGAATGCCTTTAAGCAGTTTTCTGCCCTGGGTGGGCTGGGTGTTCCTTGCCCTCATTCCAGTAAACCCACAACCTTCCAGTGTGGGCATCATGGCCACCAATATGTCACAGTGCTGCAGAGATTTTGTTTATGGCCAGTTTTGGGGCCCCTTATGGCCAGAGTTTGGGGGCCTATTCCCAACGCATATGTAAAATGAAGATGAGAATAGAGAATTAATATGATTTGGCTGTGTCTCTATCCAAATCTCATCTTTAATTGTAGCTCACATAATCCTCATGTGTTGTGGGAGGGACCCGGTGGGAGGTAATTGAATCTTGGGGGCGGGTCTTTCCCATGCTGTTCCCATGATAGTGAATAAGTCTCCTGGGATCTGATGGTTTTATAAAGGGCAGTTCCCCTGCACATGTTCTCTTGTCTGCTGCCATGTAAGATATGCCTTTGCTCCTCCTTTGCCATCCGCCATGATTGTGAGGCCTAAAATATTGGTTGTACAATATTGCATGTGATTTGGATAAATAATTGAAAATTAAATACATAATGGCAACAAAATAAATATATCCTCCCCAGCCATGTGGAACTGTGAGTCCATTAAACCTCTTCCCTTTATAATTACCCAGTCTGTGGTAATTAGCAGCATGAGAACAGACTAATACAAGAATTTTTCTTAATATAATCAGAATCAAATGCTAAATCTTAGATATCTGAATATTTAAAGCAAAAGCCTTCTTATCTTATTTGTTGAAATGGTATCTTTACCGTACAATTTTATTTTTATAATTTGACTAGATAAATTAGCACATTGTATACTATTTTTTCAAAATGTTCTTCATTTTCCATTTAATAAGTCCCAGTCTTTCTTAAGCAATAAGAACATTGGAATAAAGATAAGAATAAAGTAGGATTGCAATCCTACCTTTATATTTCCACAAAAGAGGAAGAATAGTTCACATTTATATAAAATTATATTTTCATTGAATTAAGTTAAGAAGAGTTGAGTAATGTCTTCTCTCTGACATACGGGAGTACAACATTCCAGGCCAAAAGTATTGCATTTTAAGCAATTGTCTCTGGAATGCCTGCTTTCCAACAATTAACTTGATTCTAGTGAGAAATACTTGCTTATCTCCCTCCCAATTAATAATTATTGCCCTTGTTTTACTTGCATGTCCCAGGTACTGAAAACCTGAAATGATATATTTGACTCAGGAGGAAAAGATTAACAATAGTTCCCTTCTTAGTAAGTTTTGTTGACGTTATTCTTTATAGATCTCATACGTTTATCATACTAGGATAGCTTTGACATTATCTCTTCTTATTAAGTTTAATACCACTGTCTTATTTACTAAATCTGTTGTTTATCTGTCATACTTTGTGCTTCTATATTTTGGGCTCTATATAGGAAACCAGGGAAGATATAGATGTTCCACATAAAAATCAAATTCACATATGATGCCATCAGCGAAATACCAAAAATGGCTGCTTGGAAGCTGTAAATGCCATACAAATACTCTTATGGCAATGAGGCTAGAAATGGGGAAAGACTGAAAGGCTTCCTCAGTTTGTAAGTCTCTTAATTCAGAATCGCAACCACCCTGTGTGTTTGCAGAGGAAATAGATAGTTTGTAAGCTGCTTCAATTTATTGCTTGAGAACATGTGGAGAAAGGGAATACAGGACATTTGGAAGAGCTCACAACAGTGTTGCTGAAACTCCATTTTAGACTGAGAACTGCTCTTCAACATATTTGTCCTGAAAGTTTGATGGGAAATTCTCTTGTCGCAAGTTGCACTAAACTACCACAAGGGGTTTTTCTTAGCGTTCTTTCATCAGGAACTCTGCGACAAATACTAAAAGCTGCAAAACAGAATGCCAAGCAATACTCTTGAGGGTAAGATATGGTATGTTAAAGCCTCTTGGACTGTTTATAGGTTATTTGGTGAATGTAAATATATCAAACATTACTACACTTTTCCATATGCTATCACTTAATTAACTTTAAAAATATTGCACTTACTTGTTCCTTATTTCATTGTATATGCCAATTTCAAAATATACCACATGAATGTACTCTGTTTTAACTGCAGAAAAGGGGAAAAATATTTTTCAACCAGGCTGGCAAATACAACATAAATGTTTAAAATGTTTATCACAAAGGACATCTTTTACATTTAGAATACTACTCCGCCATCTAGAGGAAAACTAAGAATCTAACACCCAGTGGGGGAAAAATTCAACTAGAATGAATTCTTCATACTTAGAATGTAAAAATTATGGTAAGTAAATAGTGTAAAGGGCCGGGCGCGGTGGCTCATGCCTGTAATCCCAGCACTTTGGGAGGCCAAGGCAGGCAGATCACGAGGTCAGGAGTTTGAGACCAGCATGGCCAGCAAGGTGAAACCCCCTCTCTACTAAAAATATGAAAAATTAGCCGGGCATGGTGGCACGTGCCTGTAGTCCCAGCTACTCGGGAGGCTGAGGCAGAAGAATTGCTTGAACCCGGCAGGTGGAGGTTGCAGTGAGCCGAGATTGTGCCATTGCACTCCAGCCTGGCAGCAGAGTAAGACTGCGTCTCAAAAAAAATTACATATATATATATATTATAGTAAAGTCGCCATCGACAGGAAGATTTTTTACTAACCTTGTTAATGTAGATCATAGAAGTAATAACAATAAAAAGACAATATTTACAAAAATAAATCGACAGACATGCTTAGCAGCAAAACAAGTAAAATGTGAATATATTGATCTTTGCTTCTTTCTGTTATACAGATGATATCTAATCTTCATAAATTGCATCTGAAAATTATTTGCTCTCTTTGTGTCTCATTAATAATAAAATTCTTTGGCTGCAAATCTATGCATTGGAATGCAGTTTCTAACTGCTGATGCCTTTTTCTTTTTAGATGATTGACCTTTATGTTCAATGCTGTAAATACATTAAAACCTACTGGCACTCTCCATACCTCTTTGCATGTATAACAAGAGCAAAAAGCACTGATTGTGCATTCACAGGTCACTTTCATAGAATGTTTAATTTTTAAAAAATATTTCTAATCCAGTATTGCTTTTTCTTAAGGAAGTGAAAGAGGTATTGCTTAAATAATTTTTCTGGGAATAGCAGTTTGCTGATTATATATATATGTAATATATAATCAAGAAATAGAATGTTACATATTATGTAATATATAATATAGCATATTATATATTATATAATATATAATCAAGAAATAGAGAGAAATCTGTCTCTCTCTCTCTCTCTATATATATATATACATATATACAATCTATATATCGTTATGTAGTCCCTTCTATGTCTGTATATATATATGGGGAGGGACTACATAACGATATATAGATTTCAATGCATCACTAACTTTTGTTGTTGCTGCCATTGCTGTTTCTTGCCTATGTTCAGCTTAGCACATTCCCTTTGTGTACAATCTGTGATTTCAGGCACGAAAATAAAGGAAGGTGCATGAAAAAGTCACTTTTCATTATTCTTGAGTGAATTTCTGTTAGAGAACAAGAAAACTCTCAGTAGCTTGTACTGAACCCCTGCTGTCTTTTAAAAGGTCTTCATGCAAATTGGCATTTTTTATATAGGTTACCTTGTGAAGAGAAGCTAATTCGGTGAAGGTCAATTTATCTCAAAGCAAGTGTGAAATGTGTAGTTTGTTGAATTGATCTATTATTTCATTGAATGTTAAAATAAACCACAATTCTGTTCAGGTGAAATCCAAACTCTTAAAATGACCATGACTCATGAATAAAATAAAATATGTACTTTTCAAAATAATTAAATAATGGGATCTACCCAGTCATCAAATAAATGACTTTTTGGAAACTATTAACAAGAAAGAGTACATTGATGTTCTTTGATTCTTTTCACATAAAGAAAAATGTAGGCCAGGAGCGATGGCTCACACCAGTAATTACACCACTTTGGGAGGCTGAAGCGGGAGGGTCAACTGAGGTCAGTAGTTTGAGACCAGCCTGGCCAGCATGGTGAAACCGTGTTATCTATAAAAATACAAAAATTAGCCAGGCATGGTGGCACCTACCTGTAATCCCAGCTACTCAGGAGGCTGAGGCAGGAGAATTGCTTGAACCCAGGAGGCGGAGGTTGCAGTGAACCGAGATCATGCCACTGCACTCCAGCCTGGGCGACAGAGTGAGACTCGGTCTCAAAAAAAAAGAAAAAGAAAAACGTGTTTGTTTTTATTTTCTATTAGTATCTCAGTGCAGTTTCATTGTGCCCTTCTGAATTATTAAGGATTAATATGTAAAATGATCTTCTCTGTCTTTTTAAAAAGCCTCTTTAAATGTAAAATAGAATACAGATGGAAGAAAACTGTAAACAGCAGTCACATGGCTTAGTAAATTCTTATAAATTTTAATAAGGTAAAAACTACAAAATCCAAGAAATATAACAAAGCCACAAACAGTAGAGGCTCCTCATGGGCTCAGATTCAGTCTCAAAACCACCCTTTCCCTCAAGATTAGCCAGCATCCTGACTCTTATATTAGTCATTTCCTTTCATATTATCAACGTTTTATCCTCCAGGTGTGCTTCCCAAATAACAGTTTAGTCTTGCCAACTTTATTTTAATTTTATGTTTCAGTCTTTTCTAATTTACAGATTCCCTTCTGTCCTTTTTATTTCCTTGTAACTTATTTGTTGAAAATCATGTGATGTTTGACATTTAGGTTTTTCTGCAGTCTGGATTTTGCTGATTGCATACTCATTTCAGGATGTTCCTCTGTCATTTATACTTTTTGCAAATTGCCAGTTGGCCCCAGAGTTTTCCTCAGATTCATTTTCAATTCCTTTGGCAAGACTATAGGTATTGTCTTGTTTTATCAAGAAGCACGTCTTGTGGTATAATCAGTGGTTGACCTTCCATGACTAAATCAATTGCTGCTGCCTAGTGAGTAGCAAATGGCAATAGCCAAATTAAAGGTAAAAACACGGTTCAATTACTGCCTGAGTCCACTTGGGCCACTATAACAAATAACCACAAACTAGAAATTTATTTCTCTTACTTCTGGAAGCTGGAATGTCCATGGCCAAGGCAGATTCAGTGTCTGGTCAGAGCCCAATTCCTGGCTCATAGACAGTGCCTTGTTTCTGTGTCCTTACATGGTGGAAGGGATGAGGAATGTCTCTCAGACCTCTTATAAGGGCATGAATCTTACTCACGAGGGGCCCAACCTATTACTTAATCATTGCCCAAAGGCTCCACCTCCTGAAACCATCCAACTTGGGAGTGAGGATTTCAAAACAGAGATTTTGGGGAGACATGAGTATTCAGACCATAGCAACTACTATTTGGTTTCATAGTAATATAACTCCTTTGGAAGGACAGGATAAATCTTTTCCTTTTATATCTTATTTTAAGGATAATGATTTGCTTCCCTATTATTTTCCTAAAATTGTCTAATTATTATTATTAAGAAATTATGACTTTAAACATATTTGATGAATTTAATTTAGTCTTACATATTACCACTTTTGGAGCTCAAATTGTATCATGTTTGCCCAGTGGCAGCCTCTTCAATATGACACCTGAGTCTTTTTGACATAACCTTTAACAATTTAAAAAAGAAAAGGCATGTCTATTACTGGGCACAAAGATTATTTATCTCAATTTTTATTGTTTATATACATAATATGTCTGTAATCCAATAAAGAAATGTATACACACATACACACCATGAATATAAATCATCCACATTCAATAGATATCAAAAGAAGAAGATACATAAAGGGCCCAAATGTTGGAATTACTAGGGAAAAAAATATTTATAAATAACTTTTGCATTATAAAGAATCTAGTGGAAAAGGTATCAAATATGCATAACCAGAGATAGAATATTATAATACACAGAAATGGAAACTATAAAAATGAGATTAATGAAAACGCATGCACGCACACACACAAACATACACACACGCATACATATGTGTAAGAAATGAGAATGTCCTCAGTGGGTTATCAGCAAATTGAACACAGCAGAGAAAAGAATCATTGAATTTGAAGACAATTAGTTAAAAGTTATTCCAGCTGAAATTTTTTAAAAAGTTGGAAAAAGAAACAGAACAAATACATAACTGATCTCAAAGAAATGAAAACTTATTTCCACACAAAATTCTGCTCATGTGGCCAGGCGCAGTGGCTCATGGCTGTAATCCCAGCACTTTGGTAGGCCCAGGCGGATGGATCACCTGCAGTTAGGAGTTCAAGACCAGCCTGACCAAATGGTGAAACCCCATCTCCACTAAAAATACAAAATTAGCTGGGTGTGTGTGCACATACCTTTAATCCCAGCTACTCAGGAGGCAGAGGCAGGAGAATCAATTAAACCTGGGAGGCAGAGGTTGCAGTGAGCCGAGATCGTGCCATTGCACTTCAGCCTGGGCAACAAGAGCGAAAGTCCGTCTCAAAAAAAAAAAAAAAATCTGCTTATGAATATTCATTACAAATCTTATTTGTAATATCCCAAAACTGGTGACAATGATGTGATGGGGACGTTACACCAAAATATGGTACCTGGGCATTTGAGAAAACAGCAGATTCAGGAAGATCACCGTCACCTTCCTCTTGCTCTTCTTTCCTGAAGCAAGTCATAAAATCTTTATTTCAGAGGCACTTTCCCTATGCTTGGAGAAAAAGTAACATCCATATCCTAGAAGACACAGAGACGCCAAGAAGAATCTGAATATACAGGCCTTACAAAATTCCTAGAACTTAGTTTATGACCATTAGATCAGATCCCCATTGTGCAATCGTACTTCTACATGACTGTCTACCCTTCATCAAACTTAACATAAAAATGCGTGGGGTTTTCCGTTTCTTTGGGTCTTCATTTTTGAATGTACCTGTGTTACATAACACATATTAAATAAATGTGTATATTTTTCTGTCATTAATTTATCTTTTGTTATAGACATCTCAGCAGTAAACCTTGAGTTGAGTGAAAAAATAATATTATTTTTTCTCTCCTAAAAACACAAATATCCTTCAATAAATAAATTGTTAAACTCTGGTATATCTATTCAATATCCATCCAATTTAATAATAACCAGGGCCGGGCGCAGTGGCTCACGCCTGTAATCCCAGCACTTTGGGAGGCTGAGGCAGGCCGATCACTAGGTCAGGAGATCGAGACCATCCTGGCCAACGTGGTGAAACCTCGTCTCTACTAAAATACAAACAATTAGCCAGGCGTGGTGGTGCGTGCCTATAGTCCCAGCTAGTGGGGAGGCTGGGGCAGGGGAATCACTTGAGCCTGGGAGGCAGAGGTTGCAGTGAGCTGAGATCGTGACACTGCACTCCAGCCTGGCGACAGAACAAGACTGTCTCAAAATAAAAAAATAATAATAATAATACCCAAACATATGCAGTAACACACGATTAATACATGTAACAACTTGGATGGATCTCAAGAACATTATCTTGGGTGAACAAAAGTTAATCTTAAAAAGTTGTGTGGCTTCATTTGTATAACATTTTCAAAATAACAAAATCAGAGATATGGAGAACATATCAGTGATTGATATGGATTAAGAAAGGGGTGAGAAGCAACTTTAAAAGAATAGCACAAAGTATTGCCTGTCAATTTCCAACTTTTAAAATTTATTTTTGATAGCACTTTATATATACATATATAGATATATATAACTTTTTATTATTACTCCCACATTTTGGTGGCTTCGTATTTTTTTATTTATTCAATATATTGTAATACACTGTGCTGTACTTGTCATAGATTTTTTAGATTGAAATTTAATTCACTTGTTTTTCTTCTTTATTTGGGAAGTGAAGTTTATGGATTTTCCTCAGTGGATTTTTCCAGATTGATTACAGAGATTCTAGTATGTTGGACTATCTTTACTGCTATTTTTGATGTTTTGCAATTATATATACTTGTGTCTCTCTTAGGCAGAAACATAGTATAAAGGCATGTTTTCTTTTTGCCATGTGGATGGGGGCTTTTTTTTCAGTTGTGTTTAATTTCTGATTTTATTGCATTTTGCTCCAATATTTTTATATGATTTTCATTTTTATAATTTATAGAATTATTTTAGTATGGCCTAAGATATGGTCAATAACAATATTATTTTTAATTCAGCTAAAAACTCTATTCCCTAATAATAGAAGAATTCAATATATGAGACTGTGTGTATATGTGTGAATATATATATACATAGTGTGTTTGTGTGTGTGTGTAAATATATATATATACACTTAAAATATATATATACACACTTTCTACATAAAAAGAGTATAAAATATTTTGTGATCCCCAAAACTATTAAGAGTGATATCACTCCATTAAAAATGAATGTTATATAGCATTTCACTCTATAAATATATGAAATATTATATATACATTATGCTGATAATTTATGAGTTTTCAATTTGGGGCTATGATGAATAGAGCTGGTAACAGCAGCTAACTAAAGGCCATTAAATAAACATATTTATGTGTTTCTGCTGGGTTTAAACCTAAAAATGGAATTTCTGTATCATAGGGTATTCAGATGTTCATCTTTAACAGATGCTGGCAAAGATTTTTTTAAGGTGTTTGTCAGATATTCTCTTTTCACCAATATTCTGTAACTTTTCTGGTTGCTAAATGTTTTTGCCAGTATATTGTATTTAATTAAAAAGTATTTTAACAATGACAGTAGGTAATGTATTATCTCCTGTGAAATGCTTGTTCGTTTGTCTATTTCTACTAGAATCTTTTTGAAAATGATTTATAATAAATCTTTATTTCTATATTTACTAATATTTATAGTAATTTTTATATGTTATAGATAATAATATTTTGCTAAATATCTTTATTGTGAATATGTTTTCTCATATTTTGGGATACATGGTTTCTTAAAAGTAATGAAGTCTAATTTGCTAGTTTCCAGGTTTTTATTTGAGTGCTCTCAGTGTCCTAGATAAAGATTTGTGCCTTTCTCTAAGGACATACAAATATCCTCCTGTGTATTCTTCTCAAAACTTTATTGGTTACCTGTGTACATTCAGACCTACAATTAATATGGATTGATTATGTTTATCCTTGCAATTAAGGATCAAGAGAAAATTATTTTCTATACAATTTTCCAATTCATTTGGCATTATATAGTAACAAAATCAGCCTTTCCCCACTGTATATATGAAGATCTACTTCTGGACATAATATACTTTTTAAAACATTAATAGACGTTATTGTTTAGAGCTGTTTCAGGTTTGTAGAAAAAAATGAGTGGAAACTACAGTAAGCTGCTCTCTACTCCCCTCACCTAACACTCCTTCCACACAGCTTCCCTTATTATAAATATCTTGAAATACTATGGCACATTTCTTACAATCGATGAGAGAACATGATACATTACTATTAACAAAATTCCATAGTTTCCATTAGTGTTCACTCTTTGTATTGTACAAGCTATGGGCTTTGACAAAACCATAATGGGAGGTAACCACCACTATAGTATCATAACCAACTGTTTATCCCTCCCCCACTTCCCACCAACCACTGGAAACCACAGCTCTTATTGTTTTTATTATCTTTTCCAGAAAGACATATAGTTAGAATCAGTCTAGTATGTAGCCTTTTCAGAGTAACTACTTTTATTTAATACTTGACAATATTTATATGAGTATCCTCCATGTCTTTTTGTTGCTTGATACTTCATGTTTTTATGACTGAATAATATTCCATTGCATGGATTACCAGTCTGCTTATCCATTCAACTACAAGATTACATCTTGGTTGCTTCCAAATTGTGGCAATTAAGAAAAAAATGCTATAACCATTAATGTGCAGGTTTTTGTGAGGACATATATTTTAAGTAAATACTCATACCAAGAGTGTGATTGCTAGACCTTATCATAAGATGAGGTTTAGTTTTGTAAGAAACTGCAAATTGCCTTCCAAAGTGGCTGTACCATTTTAGTTTTCCACCAATAATAAATGACAGTTTCTTTTGCTCCATGTTCTTTTGTCTAGTTGTATTAGGATTTTAAATCTCCTTAATTGTAAGATTGGGAATTAATCAAACTATATGTTTTCTGGGAAAAAAAAACCTAGCAATCTATGTTAATGATGAAAATAATAGTCTGGGGTACTGGAAATGACATTTTGTATGGCAAAAGTTAGCACTGTCCTTCAGTCCTGCTCTGGTACGAAGCCAAATGACACAGCATTTCTAGTGCTAAAACTCTATGAATTATCTCCTTTCAAATTGCTCTACAAAAACTGAGCTAGATTTTCCTTTTCACAGATGGTGTCACCGGCCTGTACCTTAAACAGTGATACGTGAAACAACTCCTTTCACTACTCTTGCAGATGATCAAGGACATCTGGCCTTACGTCTAAATAGGAGGACCTAGAGTAGTTTAAATTGAGGCCATGAAGCAGCCGGGAAAGTCTCTCATGTGTAGCTCTCCTGAGCATCTAATTAACTGTCTGTGATATTTGTAACCTCTTCAAACAGTCTGCATAGTCATTTGGATAAACATTTAAAATATTCTAAATTTATTAGTATTCTAATAAATAAATAATTATAGATTCAGCTACCACTGAATCTACAATATACATCTACTGGCACATAAAATAAATTGCAAAGTGTGATTGCTTATATGTTCCTCTGAATAATATGAAAGAATGACTTAGAAACTGTAGCACTTCACACCTATACAGTGAACTGCCTATACCTTAAAGAGTTTTCACATGGGATTTAGATTAAACATACCTGCATATGTGCATTAAATATAATAAATATAATGGGTATTATGTATAAGTATTTTATATCAATATTTTTGGACATTCATGTTTATAAACTATTAGTTACATTTGAAGTAAAATTCACTCTGTACAGCTATGAAAAAAATGTGTATTAAAAAATAAAGTGTCTACAACTAGTTTCCTTTTTTAAAGCAGAATTCAAAGAAAATAATGTCCAATTCTGCCTATACTGATAGATGACATTAATGAGATAGTGCATTTATTGTATTATTCTCAGTGTCTGCAACTTCACTATAGAATAAGGAGAAATTGCCCAATCTTTTTTCATTTTTGCCAACTTGCACTTTGGCAAATAATGACTAAAATGACTTTGTACAAATATTTTTCACCATAAGCCTTTTTCTCAAAGTTATTGGGATTTAAATTAATCATTATTATGTTTTTATAATGTCACCTTTTAAGGAACTCAAGATTGATAGGTATAATTTGAAGGGCAGTGCAGCTCCAAACATCTGAATACCCCCTGCACACATCATACTGACTCATATCTCACTATTAAAGATTCATTCCACTGGGATAGAGTTTTAAGAAATTTAAATATTCAAAATATCCAAAGAAGAGGCAAATTTAAAAATTTAAAAGCTCACAGGAAGTCTCTATTTTTATCAATGGCTACCTGATCAGGCAGGAACTAGAGAAAAGCTAGATGAAAACAAGTTAGAGAAAAAGGGGTAAGAGACAGCAGAAACACTCACTTTCCACAGGGTCAGGAGAGGGTGCCAGAGCTCCACTGCTTATACTTTACATATGTAGGGGCAGCCAATCTTGTATACATACTCATGAGTCTGACAGTATAACAAAATTTTGCCCACCTAACTCTTAACATTGATAAAGCATGGCTTCCTCTAAATTATTATCTCTTCAAATTTAAGTATCTTGGTTTTATTTTGAAGCATCCTTTGCCAAAAGCAGATATTAATTCTATGGCACTAAATATGTAAAAAACCTTAATGCACAACGACCAAGGGCATTGGAAATACACAGATCTAGATTTCATTTTTAGCTCCATCAAATGCAATGTATGACACCATATTGACTTCAATTTCCTGGTTTCCAAATATACAGAACAAAGACAATAACAACATGTTGAATTGTTTGCCACTAATGTTTACAGTTTATGCGTATAACATATTATTTCTCACACTGAAACATTTGATAACATTTTAAATATTCATAATTGTTTTATCCATTATAAAATATTTATAATAGTTTTTCTCTTTACCTCAAGTTTGATGTAAAGATTTAATTAAATAAGCTATCAATAATAATGCCTGGTAAAATATAAGATGTATATAAATGGGGTAAGTGTGTGTGCTAAACTAATACTACTGTCCTCTCATTAACTTAGGAGCACTGGGCAATTAGACCATTTTATTAGACTTTGTTTATTTTATACAGTATTGTAGGACAGTGCTTCTCTGAAGAACAGACATAATCTCTGCATTTATGGAAAATCTATAGTAGGAAGCAGTCATAAGCCTTTAGTTTTATTTTGGTTATGTTTTGGTTTTTTGCCTCTATTACCTTTAGGACATGCTTCCTCAATGCTTGACCTCCAAACTGAGTTAGTGTTAATGCATGGATTTGAGTCTTCCTTTCTATATTCAGATAAATGTGGCTCTCACTGTCTCCATATTACAACATGTCAGATAAGTTTATGTGTAATGTCTTTTGAAATTATTCACAAAAATTGGATATCCCATCCTTTATATTCTATACGTTTTAATATGATATTTCCTTTTGCAATAATTGGCCCAGGAGTCCTTTAAATAAACTTTTGCATAATTACAGCAACAGAAATACTATGAATTTTATAGAACATGCCATGCCATGGTCTTTTTTTTTTTTTTTTTTTTTTTAATAAACAAGGTCGTATTTTGCCACACAGGCTGAAGTGCAGTGGCGCGATCGAAACTCACTACAGCTAGATCTCCCGTGCTCAAGTGATCCTCTCATTTCCACTTCCTGGGTAGCTGGGACTAGCGGCACGTGCTACCAGTGCCAGCTAGTTTTTTTGTTGTTGTTGTTGTTTTTTTTTTAATTTTTTTTAGAGAAAATAGTTTCACCATGTTGCCCAAACTGATCTTGAGCTTCTGGGCTTAAGCAATCTGCCTGCCTCCACCTCCCAAACTGCTGGAATTATAGGTGTGAACCACTCACTGCACCCAGCCCATGCCATGATCTTTCAAAAATCAGTTGGCTGCATTCTCTGCACTAGAGTAAAAACATATATACAATTTTAAAAGTCTTAAGCTGCTATAACCCAAGAAGATCACCGTGCCTTTAAAGATATTTAATCAAAGGTCAAGAATAAGAAATGTTGAATGAAAGAAAAATTTATAATCACTTTTTTAATGTAAAATAGTTATATTATTTATTTAATCATTAAAGAAGAAGTTGTGGTTTTGATAGTTTTAAAGGTTACAATCTTGTGGTTATAATTATCATAATTACCTAACCTTGTGTATGTTAGGCAGACTTTAATGAAATTCATTTTGTCACAAATTCTTTACTGAATAAACTAATTTGTTGAAAAAAATAAGGAACTTAGAAATTCCCCAGTAATCTTAGTTAATACAACTAAAAGATGGCCATATGGCATGGCTGCAGTAGTCACAACTGTTTTCAAAAACTCAGTTATTTTCTAGATGGAACTGTGGGCTTACATACAATTTCAGATCAACATTTAGCTAAAAGGTTTCAAAATTGGGTAAGGACATATTCCTACATTTCTAAAGCAGGCTTTTGGCCATTTGCCTACTTTATTAGACTTTATTTATTGAGTTCAGAGAATATGCTAGAATTAAAAGCTAGAATTCACAGTTTTGGAAATCAAATATATGTTGTAGCAGGGAGAAATATTTTTACCTTTGATCTGTGACCAATAAATCACAAGACAGTGCCTATCTTCAGATGAAATAGAGTATTCGGCCACAGTCACTTTGATATCACTCTTACTAAAGTGTCATCACATCAGCCCTGTCAAGTACTTAATTACAGAATTGCTTTTACTAGGAAATACATACAGTTGATATTTTTCACCTTATTCATCTCAAGCCTTACCACCTTTTAAGGAAACTCTTAATATCTACATTTGTATTATTTTGTATAATTTAATTTTGAAGTTTGTTTAATTTGGAAAAAATATGCATCATATTTTAGGACTGTGAGAACTGAATTTTGAGTATAAATCAGAGCAATACATTTTGGAGAGCAATTTGGTAGTATTTTGAATTTCGCTATCAGACAACATAAAATTTCACACACACACACATACACTAATACATGAACAAATATTTTTCCAGTCCCTTTGCCTGATCAACAATGAATCATTTTGTTATGAAGATGCATATCCTCTTTTATGTGGAAGAAAGTTTCTTCCATTATTTAATTGATTATTATTCTTTTTATCTTCAATTTTTTCTGTATTTCCTAATTCATGTATATCAGACCTACTTCCATTCTCCAACTTGCTCCTCTTGTAACTGATCTTTTTGCAAAATCATATTTTTTCTAAATTTAAGAAAATATGGCCAGGCACGGTGGCTTATGCCTGTAATCCCAGCATTTTGGGAGGCTGAGGCGGGCGGATCACCTGGGGTCGGGAGTTCGAGACCAGCCTGACCAACATGGAGAAACCCCATTTCTACTAAAAATACAAAATTAGCTGGGGTGGTGGCCCACACCTGTAATCCCAGCTACTCGGGAGGCTGAGGCAGGAGAATCACTTGAACAGGGGAGGTGGAGTTTGCGGCGAGCTGAGACTGGGGCTTTGCGCTCCAGCCTGGGCAACGGGAACAAAATTCCATCTCAAAAAAAGAAAAAAAGGAAAAAAGAAATATCTTGACCTCGATTTCTCTACTGTTTAATCTTATGGTTATTGCCCCCTTGATAGCATTTTAATATGGTATTTTTGTTTGTTTCTTGAAAGCATATTCTCCAGACTCAATTTGTTTTCTTTATATTGATGGCATTTGTTTTCAAATATTGTAGGCACTATGTACAACATACTGTAAGGAGACAGGGTGCCTTTTACAAATTACAATATTCTTTTCAAAATTCTAAAATAATCATTTTTCTTCCAACCATGGAGTCATTTAATGTGCCTAATGATATTTCTGTATTCTCTCTTTTAATACATTCTTTTTGGAAGTTTAAATGTGTTCTGTCAGATATATTGCAGACCCATCTTCAAATACCTGTATTACAGATAAAGGGAGAAGGAAGAAATTTGTGTTTACTCTGATTTTTTTTTTTTTTTTCGTATTCTACTGATCCAGTTTGCCATAATATGTTAAGGCTGAGTTAACCATGTGGGCAGCTGTAAACTAGGGAGGGGGCCCGTATTTTGTCGAGTTGCTCCAGGCAGGAACTCTGGTAACTGTAGATTCTGAGTCATGCTTAGGGGCACCTGCTCCCCTGTAACCACCACACTTGCTAGCTTGACAGCGTCCTCAGCTTTTGCCAGATTGTGAGCTTAACAAGGATCAATGCCAAGTCAGAATTCTACTGGAATAAACTGCCAGGCAGGGCAATTAGAGTAGAGCACAAGACACCGTTGCTCAAGGTTTCGTTTGGTTTGTTCTGTGTTTCAGTACTAGCTCAAGGATAGTTGATGCACAGTTCCTCTTTTCTAAAAGATACAATTGCCCTTTCACAAAGCCCACTACAATGCCTACATTTTACTCGGGGCACATTTCATGCCAAGTGTTGGTTAGAGATGAGTTTTGTGTCCAGGGCATCACGGAGGTAGCCCTGTCACCATTTTCTGAACAACTCAGCTTGTTCCTACCAACAACCCCATTGCTTCATCTTGATGTAAGCTTCTGCTAATCAAACTCTGGGAGTTTTCTAGTGCTTTCTGATAATTTCATTTACTCTGTTTAGAAGCAAAATAAAACATGAACACATAAAAATATTTTCTTTGTATTGGTAGCTCATATCTATTTATGTCCTGTATAGAAATCTCTAGTGCATTGTTGGCACTCTTTCCTCTTCTGATTTAGGATGTTTATCCTTTTTATTATTTTTAAAAATTGCCCTTTATTATTACAGACAAGATTTTGAAACAATGGAAATCTAAGAAGAAATTGCTTGTTAACATCTTCCAAAATAAAATTTCTATTTTAATTTGGTCATAAGAGCTTCCAGACCATGTCTTTGAATGATCAATTTTGACATATTTATATATCTACATATACATAATACTTAGGTATAATATTATGTATTATCTCTCAAATATGCATAGCTATCTATACATACAGCCCATTGTTTTTCTTCCCTCACATCATCCCTCAACCCCTGTCCTACCCACTACAGGTAGGCAAGATTAGCACTTTGGAGGTGGGGCCTGGTGGGAGGTGATTAAATCATGGGGACAGATTTCCCCCTTTTTGAAGTTCTTTGAAAATTCTCCAAACCACTTCCCAGAGTGGCTGAACTATATCACATTCCCACCAACAGTGTATAAGTGTTCTGATCTGAGTGAATTATTAAGTAAGAAAAATACAATGAAGATAAAAACTTAGAACTACCATTCAACCCACCAACCTCATTACTGGGTATATATAATATCCAAAAGAAAATACGTCATTCTACCAATAAGACACATACACTCATATATTCATTGCAGCACTATTTACAATAGTAAAGACATGTAAGCAACCTAGGCCCCCGTCAATAGTAGATTGGATTTTAAAAATGGGGTACATATATACCATGGAATTCTACACAGCATTAAAAACAAAAACAAAATCATGCCCTTTGCAGCAAAATGTATGCAGATGGAGCCCCCTATCCTAAACAAATTAATACAGAAACAGAGAACCAAATACCATATGTCCTCATTTATAAATGGGAACTAAATGTTAGTACTCATGGACATAAAGATGCCAACGATAGTCAGTGGGGACTACTAGAGGGGTGATATGGTTTGGATCTGTGTCTCTATCCAAATCTCATGTCAAATTGCGATCCCTAGTGTTGGAGGTGGGGCCTGGTTGGAAGTGATTAAATCGTGGGGACAGATTTCCCCTTTGGTGCAGTTCCTATGATAGTGAGTTCTGGGTGACATCTGGTTATTTAAAAGTGTTTGTCACCTCCCCCTACTCCTGCTCCAGCCATGTGAAGTGCTGGCTCCTCCTTTGCCTTCCGCCATGATTTTAAGTTTCCTGAGATCTTTCCAAAAGCCAAGTAGATGCCAGCATAATACTTTCTGTACAGCCTATGGAACCATAAGCAATTAAACCTGCTTTCTTTATAAATTACCCAGTTTCAGGTTTTGTTTTATAGCAATGTGAGAACAGACTAATACAAAGAGGGAGGATGGGAGCGGGTCAAGGATTGAAAATTAACTATTGGGCTCTGTGCTCAGTACCTGGGCGACAGAATCAATTGCATCCTAACCTCAGCATCACAAACATATCCAAGTAGCAAACTTGCATGTGTATCTCCTGAATCTAAAATAAATGTTGAAATTTTAAAAAGTAAATAATAAAAGCTGCTTTGCTGTAACCAATAAGTACCAAAAGATAAAAGGGAAAAAAATGCTACTTGATTCTGAAAAATTATGTAGTTATAATTTAAATAATAAAAATGTATTAGTAAACAAAAATATTATACTTTAGATTAAAATAATGAATTCATTTCTTTATTAAAAAATAAAAATAATTCACCCAGATCAAAAGACATGGGTGGATTGACATAATATTCACTTTTATGAGTGGAATCCACTTTATTTAACCATTCCCCATTGGCATTTATATTGTCTATATTTTCTGCAGGTACAAAAATATTGCAGCAGTATTCCTTGTATATAAATGTATTTTAATTA
Source organism: Homo sapiens (assembly GCF_000001405.40). Lineage (NCBI taxonomy): Eukaryota > Metazoa > Chordata > Mammalia > Primates > Hominidae > Homo > Homo sapiens. The sequence continues at coordinate 81,045,959 of NC_000013.11, read as the reverse complement.
ATATTTTATTCAGTGGATAGACTAAAAAAGTGACACTGTGCGGAGGAACCTTTATGGTTTTAATTTTGAAAGTTTTAATATCAAATTCTTTCCCTGATAGTTGTGAGATGTTAATGCTATCTTCAGAAGTTCCCGGCCAGGGCCAGCGCCTCACACCTGTAATCCCAACACTTTGGGAAGCCATGGTGGGCAGATCACAAAGTCAGGAGTTTTGAGACCAGCCTGACCAATATGATGAAACCGGGTCCCTACTAAAAATACAAAAATTAGCTGGGCATGGTGGTGGGCGCCTGTAATCCCAGCTGCTCAGGAGGCTAAGGCAGGAGAATTGCTTGAACCAGGGAGACGGATATTGCAGTGAGCTGAGATCGCACCACTGCATTCCAGCCTGGGCGACAGAGTGAAACTCCATTTCAAAAAAAAAGTTCCAGTGACTTTTTATGATTTGTGGATTGGTTTTTGAGCATAACAGTCACCTGTTGATACAATTCCAAGTGAGTCAGGAAGCTGAAAGAAGTCAAGTCCTGCTTGTCAAAGCAAAATGAACATATAAATGGTCAGGGTGAAAGGCGGATGATAAACCAAAGTTCTTTTGAAAGAGCTTGACACATTGATATCACCAAGAATTGGGAACAAGTGGTAAATAAATTGAAGTGTACCAAAATATTGGAGATGTTAAAAATAATACTGGGTTTATGTGTATTGTACATGGGGAGAATTTGCAGAATATGTAAAACATGGCACCTTACAGAGCTAAGTAAAATGGAAACAAACCAGTTTGCATGTGTGTTCATTATTTTTTAATGCATTTGTTCAGACGCATAGGTAAATGCCTGAAACTGGTAACTGAAGGCTATACTGCTAACAGCTGTTGCACCTGGGGAAGATGGTAGAATTAACCATCAACGCAGGAAGCCCTTCATTTTGATCTCTATAGAACTCTTGAAATAGTTTCATTGATGGCAAACATGTATTTGTTTGCAAAATGCAATTTTTAAAAGAGGTAAAAGGCAGAGGAGGATGAGATGAAGGAAGAGAAGGAGTGGGAGGAAGAACAGAGGTGAAAATTAAATCAGGTCAAAGTCCAAAACTGCACAGTGGTTTCAGAAAAAACTCAAACATTGTCTGGCTTATTCAGTGTCTGCTCTTTGTATTCCTTTTTCAGTGGAGATAATTTTATCACCAGCTCACCTCAGCATCTTCCAAACATACCATCACTTTTTTTCTTCCTTTTCTAGTTTTCTTCTTAATAACATATATTATTAGAGTTTTTATTTTAAAGAAATGCCTACTTTATTTAAGAAATATCATCTGTGAATACATTATAAAATATGAGTCACTAGCTTTACATCTATTTAGGTTCATAAATATTTTCAACTTATGTCTGTGTTTTCTAATGCTTATAGTTCACACAATTACTCTTGGATTTCCAGAATGCTTTCGGTAATTTTTTTGAAAAGCAGCATCTTATAGAAATAAGGAAACACCCCCAGATGGACTGAAGAAGCGAATATTAAAATGAACATTTGTCACATGAAACTGACTTCTTTAGTAGACAAAGGCTGTGATGGCTGTACAATATTCCCCTTACTCTCTACTTCTACTTCCAAGTACTTAAATATCCTTAAAAAATATAAAGCTTTACTGAAAGGTGTGAAAATTTGATATGGTTTGGATCTGTGTCCCCATCCAAATCTCATGTTGAGTTGTAATTCTCAGTGTTGGAGGTGGGGCCTGGTGGGAGGTGATTGTATCACAGGGATGGAGTCCCCAAGAATGGTTTAGCACCATTTCCCTAGTGCTGTTCTTCTGACAGAGTTCTCACAAGATCTGGCTGTTTAAAAGTGTATAGCACCTCCACACTTCTCTCTCTTCTTCCTGCTTTGGTCATGTAAGACGTGCCTGCTCTCCCTTCCCCTTCTTCCATGACTTTAAGTTTCCTGAGGCCTTCCCAGAAACCAAACAGATGCCAGAATCACGCTTCCTGTACAGCCTGTGGAAACATGAGCCAATTAAACTTCTGTTCTTTATAAATTACCCAGTCCCAAGTACTTACAGCAATGTGAGAATGGACTAATATACAATTCTATCAGAAAAGTCCTGCCTCACCTGTGCCTAATTTTGACCTTGATGGCTTTTGATCCACTTGAACAGAGTTCATTATTGCGCTACCTCGGCACATAGAAGATGCTATTGTTCCTTCCTCTTAGAGACCCATGATAAAGATTTCTCCGAAGCAAATGCACTTTTCCAGGAGTAATATTTAGCACAGAGTTTTCTCCTCTCCACCTGTAGAATGTATAAAGAATATCAAAAAAGTAGTATACCGGGAAAGATTATCAAGTCCCATAGCTTTATGATCAAAGTTATGTTTTAAGTCCAATAGATGAAGAAAGATATGTTATCACTTCTTCTCCAAGCAAATCAAAGGAAGAAATATTTTATAGTTATTAAAATCACTAAATCACTATTTCTCTCTCTGTGTTGCTCTATTTCAGCTTTTTACTCACTTTTAGTCCTCTTTTAAGCCTGTTTTAATGATATTTAAATAACTGCTCTGTCCCAGATAATGAAACTTGTCTAATAGAGAGATTTTTGGCATGATTCATTTACTGTATTGGTTCACCTTGTGTGACAAGTATACTGATGAGTTCATAAAAAAATGACAACATGGTGAATTGCCCTAATTGAATCAATGATCTAAATAGCCTTTTATAACTTAAATAATTCTGTTTAGCTCAAGCCATTAAAGTGACAATAATTTTAAGGGATATGCTATTGAAAATTGCTGTTCTCTTGCATATATTAAATCTTCAGGCCTAGAACTCTATTAATGAAAATATAATTTCAGCCTTACCAATGCATTCATGAAAGTAAATTGATCTTTATACAGTGTATTGCAAAAAATAATGGCATTTTTTTCCTATAAATGAAAGCTGTAGGGATGTTTGGGATTGTTTGTTTCTTTTTTTGCTACTGCATTTTGAAAAAAAAAACGGTCCACAAATGCTAAAAAAACAAAAATCTAGTTTGATGTACCTTGTTTCAGTAGTCTAAAAAAATTTATCAAACTTAATTGGAGCTAACATTGGGATTAAAAACTAGCATGGCTTAACTTTATTTTTAGTTTCCTTCTGATATCTGTTCTTGGGGCATTACCTAACTGCCTTTATATAAGTTAGGTATGCAGTACATAAAACATTTTTAAACTTATAGATTCATGGAGCACATGTGCAGGTTTGTTACATAGGTATAATGCGTAATGCTGGGATTTGGGCTTCTACTGAACCTGCTGCCCAAATAGTGAACACTGGATCCAGTAGGTAGTTTTTCAACTCTTGCCCCCCTCCCTCTCTCTTCCTTTTGGAAGCCCCTAGTATCTATTGTTTCTGCCTTTATGTCTATGAGCAGCACAAAAAAACTTAGGACACTTTTTTGCAAATTACGGAAAATTTGATCAAAACCGCCTTAAATAAGATGGAAATTTATTACCATAAAATTGAAATATTCAGCTTATATTAATTTCAAGCACAGATAAACAGGAATATTACCATTAGTAATTCTTTTGTCTTTTGTATTCATCTGTTTAAAGTATACATTTCATCTTTTTTTAGTATATTCAGTTATACAAACATCATCACTACCTAATTTTAGTATATTTTCATCACTACAGAAGGAAAACCCATACTCATTATGAATTACTCCTCAATCCCCACTTCTCCAGTCATAGGCAGCCAATAGTGTACTTTCTATTTTGATGGATTAGCCTATTCTAGATTTTACTATAAATGGTATCATGTGGTCTTTTGTGATTGGTTTCTTTTACTTAGCATAATGTTCTTTAGGTACAACCATGTTGTCATAGGTATCAGTATTTCATTCCTTTTCATATCCAAATAACATTTGTAGTATACTACAGTATATATGGATATGCAACATATGTTAATCCTTTCTTCAGTTGATGCATATTTAAGTCGTTTCTATTTTGGGATTATAAGTGGGCAGTCTTTTCACTTTCCAGATGGTGTTCTTAAAATGCAAAATTTTGTTATGTATTTGTCATGTACAACATGATAGTTTAAAGTATGTATATATTATGTAATAGTTTAATCTAGCTAATTAATAATGTATTGCCTCAAATAGTTATAGTTTGGGGATAATAATGCTTACATCCACTGTCTATGCATTTTTCAAGAACACAATATATCATCATTAACTTTAGTCACCATACAGCCACCTTGTGCAACACATCTCTTGAACTTATTTCTTCTAACTGTAATTATGTATCCGGGGATCTACATCTCCTAGTCACTCAATTCCTGCCAACAACCTCAATCTCTAGTAACCACGGTTTTACTCTCTATTTCTATGACATCAACATTTTTAGATTCCACATTTAAATGAGCTCATGTGGAATTTGTCAGTCTGTGCCTAGCTTAGTTCAATTAGCATAATGTCTTCCATGTTTTTCCATGTTGTTGCAAATGATTGTGATGAAATCCAAAGTATTTATATATTGTCTTTGGTTACTTGTACTTTTGGTGTCATATATAGAAAACCATTGTCTAACCCAACCTCACAGATTTACTCCTATGTTTTGTTTTAATTTGTATAGTTTTAGCACTCACATTTAGGTCAACGGTCAGTTTTAAGTTCATTTTTATATATAGTGCGAGGTAGGAGTTCAACTTCATTTTTTTTTTTTTGCATGGATAACCAATTATTTCAGCCATATGGTTAAAAGACTATTACTCTCCCACTTGAGTTGCCTTTGTACCCTTGTCAAAAATACCTTTATTATGAACATAAGTGTTTATTTTTTGATGCCACTTCTTTTCCATTGGTGTAAATATCTCTTCTACTCTAGTACCATACTGTCCTTATTACTGAAAATGTTTTCCTAAGTTATGACATTAGGAGAAATATGTCTTCTAATTTTGTTCTAATTTTAAAGATTGTTTAAAATATTCTGCATCCTTTACATTTCCATACAAAATTTGGTATTAGCTTCTAACATTCCACAGACATAAAAAAATGAGAATTTGTTTGGGATTGTTTGAATCCACAATATGATTAGTTCGTGGAGTATTTCAATTTTAATGATATTTAGTTGACCAATCACTGAACACGGAATTGCTTTATGTTTGTTTAGATATTTTCTCACCTTCAACAATATTTTGTAATTTTCATTGCACAAGCCTTGAATTTCTTTTGCTAAATGTATTTCTTTGTTTTATTTATTTTTTGATGCCATGGGAAATGGAATTGTTTTCTTCACATAATTTTTATATTCTTCACTGTTAGTATAGGGAATTATTATTGTTTTTTGTATGCTAATTATGTATTCTGCAGCCTTACTGAATTTATTAGACATATTAGACATAATCAGCTGTGGGGGTGTGTTTGCTTATGCTTGTGTGTGTATTTCTTAGGATTTTATATATAGAAGGTCATCTTATCTATGAGTAGAGATAAATCATTACCTCTTCCTTTCCAAAATGAATTTCATTTTTAAAATATTTTTATTTTACTATTTTTAATTTTTATGTGTACATAATAAGCATATATACTTATGGGGTACATAAGATATTTTGATACAGACATGTAATGCATAATAATCACATCTGGATAAATGGGATATCGATTACCTCAAGCATTTATCCTTTGTGTTACAAATAATCCAATTATACTGTTTTAATTATTTTAAAATATACAATAAAATTATTATTGACTACAGTAACAATGTTGTACTAGTAAATACAAAGTGTTATTCATTCTTTCTAACTATTTTCTTGTACCCATTAACCATCCTCACCCCCTTGTCCCTCTGTTCCCAGCCTCTGGTAACCACCCTTCTACTCTCTATCTTGATGAGTTCAACTGTTTTAATTTTTAGCTCCCACAAATCAATGAGAACATGTGAAGATTGTCTTTCTGTGCCTGGCTTCTTTCACTTAACACAATGACCTCCAGTTCCATTCATGTTGTTGCAAATGACAAATCTCATTCTTTTTTTTTTTTAATGGCTGAATAGTGCTCCATTGTGTATATGTACCACATTTTCATTATCCATTAATCTGTTGATGGACGTTTAGGTTGCTTCCAAATCTTAGCTATTGTGAACACTGCTGCAACAAACAAGGGAGTGCAGATATCTCTTCAATCAACTGATTTTCTTTCTTTAGGTATATACTCAGCAGTGGGATTGCTGGATCATATGCTAGCTCTATTTTTAGTTTTTTCAGTAATCCCCAAACTGTTCTCCATAGTGGTTATACTAACTTACATTTCCACCAACAGTGTACAAAGATTCACTTTTCTTCACATTTTTGCCAGCGTTTATTGCCTGCCTTTTGGATATAAGCCATTTTAATTGGGGAGAAAATATATCTCATTGTAGTTTTGATTGGCTTTTCTTTGATGATTAATGATGTTAAATATCTCTTCATATGCCTGTTTGCAATTTGTATGTCTTCCTTTGAGAAATGTCCATTCAATTCTTTTGCCCCTTTTTAAAATCTAATTAGTACCTTTTTCCTATGGAATTGTTTGAACTCCTTATATATCTGGTTCTTAATCACTTGTGAGATGAGTGGTTTGCAAACATATCTCCCATTCTGTCTGTTGTCTCTTCACTTTGTTGATTGTTTCCTCTGCTATGCAAAAGCATTTTAACTTGATGTAATACCATTTGTCAATTTTTGCTTTGATTGCCTGTGCTTGTGAGGTATTACTCAAGAAATTTTGCTCAGACCAATGTCCTGGGGATTGTCCCCAATATTTTCTTGTAGTAGTTTCAAAGTTTGAGGTTTTAAATTTAAGTCTTTAATCCATTTTAATTTCACTTTTGTATACGGCAAGAGATAAGGATCTAGTTTCATTCTTCTGCATATTGATATCCAGTTTTCCCAGCACCATTTAATGAAGAGGTTGTATTTTCTTCAGCATAGGTTCTCGGCATCTTTGTCAAAAATGAGTTTACTGTGAGTGTGTGGATTTGTTTCTGGGTTCTCTATTCTGTTTCATCAGCCTATGTGTTTCTTTTTATGCCAGTACCATGCTGTTTTGATTACTATAGCTCTGTAGTATAATTTGAAGTCAGGTAATGTGATTCCTCCAGGTTTTTTTTCCCTCAAAATAGCTTTGGCTATATAAATTTTAGGAATTTTTTTTCCATTCCTTTGAAGAATGTAATTGGTATTTTGACAGGGATAGCATTGAATCTGTAGATTGCTTTGGGTAGTATGGACGTTTTAATAATATTGATTCTTCCAATCCATGAACATATAAAATTTATCAGTTTTGGGGGATCCTCTTCAATTTATTTGATCAGTGTTTTATAGTTTTCATTATAGAGAGCTTTTATGTGTTTGATTAAATTAATTCCTAGGTATTAAATTTTATTTGTGGTTATTGTAAATGGGATTACTTTATTTCTTTTTCAAATTGCTCACTATTGGCATATAGAATTTATGAATTATTGCATGCTAGTTTTTCATCCTGCAACTTCATTGCATTTGTTTTCCAGTTCTAATAGATTTTGTATGAAGTCTTTAGGTTTTTTCAAATATAAGATTATATCATCTGCAAACAAGGATAATTTGATGTCTTCCATCCATTTTGGATGTCCTTTATTTCCTTCTTTCGTCTGACTGCTCTAGCTAGAACTTCCAGTACTATGTGAAATAACAGTGGTGAAAGTGGGTATCCTTGTTGTTTTCCAGATCTTAAGTGAAAGACTCTCAGTTTTTCCTCATTCAGCATAATACTAGTTGTGATCTGTAATATAGGGCTTTTATTATTTTGAGGTATGTTCCTCCTATACCCAATTTTTTTGAGGATTTTTATCATACTCTGACCTTTTATTCTACTAAGAAGAAAATGTTGAATTTTATTAGATGCTTTTTTAGCATCAACTGAAATGATCGCATGATTGTTATCATTCTTTCTGTTGATATGATGTAGAATATTGATTGATTTGTGTATGTTGAACCATGTTTGTATTCCAGGGAAAATCCCACTTGGTCATGATAAATGATCTTTGCAATGCATTATTGAATTTACTTTGTTAATATTTTGTTGAAGATTTTTACATCAATATTCATCAGAGATATTTTCCTGTAGTTTTCTTTTTTATGATGTGTCTTTGTCTGGTTTTTGGTAGCAGGGTAATACTGGCCTGGTAGCATGAGTTTGTAAGTATTTCCTCCTCCTCTATCTTTCAGAGTAACTTGAGTAGGATTGGTATTAGTTCTTCAAATGTTTGCTAGAATTCAGCTGTGAAGACATCAGATCCCAGGCTTTTCTTTACTAGGAGAATTTTTATTACAGCTTCCATCTCATTACTTGTTACTGGTCTATTCAGGTTTTCAATTTCTTCCTGGTTCAATCTTTATAAGTAGTATGTATCTAAGAACCTGTCCATTTCTTCTAGATTTTCCAATTTATTGACATATAGTTACTCATAGTAGCCATAATGATGCTTTGATTTCCTGTAGTATCAGTTGTAATGTCTCCTTTTTCATTTCTAATTTTATTTCTTTGTATTTTCTCTCTTTTTTCTTAGTCTAGCTAAAGGTTTTTCAATTTTGTTTATCTTTTCAAAAAACCAACTTTTTATGCCATAAATCTTTTGCATTGTCTTATTCATTTCAAATTCATTTATTTCTGCTCTGATCTTTATTATTTCTTTCCTTCTACTAATTTTGGGCTGGTTTGTTGTTGCTTTTGTAGTTCTTTAAGATGCACCATTGGATTATTTATTTGATGTTTTTTCTCTTTTTTGATGTAGACACTTACAGCTATAAAGTTTCCTCTTAGTTTTGCTTTTGCCATATCCCATTACAACTGAAACTACAGAAATTCAAAGGTTTTAGTATGTTTTCATTACTATTTGTTGCAATAAATTTTTTCAATTTGTTTCTTGATTTCTTCATTGACCCACTGGTTATTCGGAAGCATATTGTTTGATTTCCATGTATTTTTATAGTTTCCAAAATTCCTCTTGTAATTAATTTCTAGTTTTATTCCATTGGGGTCAGAGAAGATGCTTGATGCTATTTCTGTTTTTTTTTTTTTTTTTTTTGAATGTTTTAAGACTTGTTTCATGACCTAACATCTTAACACCTATACTTAGGGATGATACATGTGATGAGGAAAACATTGTATACTTTGTAGCTGTTGGATGAAATGTTCTTTAAATACCTATTAGATCCATTTGGCCTATAGTGCAGGTTAAGTCCAATGTTTCTTTGTTGATTTTCTGTCTGGAAGATCTTTCCATAGCTGAAAGTGGAGGGTTGAAGTCTCCAATAGATAGTGTATCTGGGCCTATCCCTCTCTTTAGCTCTAATAATATTTGCTTTATATATCTGGGTGCTTCACTGGAGCATGTTTTATAACTTAAATAGTTAAATATTTTTAAAATGTGATATAATTTTACATGCTTTTAATGGTGCTTATGTAATACAACTTGTGTAAGATATTTATGAATGATTAGTTTTCAAAGTTTCTTGAATATTACAATATAGTATTCTTTACAAATGTTTGTTTGTAACTCTATCATATTGGGGTAGAATCCCAATAAAAGGATTGCAAAGTCGAAGGGCACGAACATTTTAAAGGCTTTTATACCATTTTCTGATCACCTTCTGGAAGGTATTACCAGTTTGCTCTTCCTTCAGACAGTATGAGATTACTTTATTCCAAGTATGTGATAAAATTATTATTTAGACCATTGAACTAAATGCATGCTTAACTTCCAGTTCTTGCATATCCAGATGTGTGTTATTTTTGTCTAATAACCATCCTGAATTTAGAGTATAGTATGATTTTCAATATACAAGTTTGGCAAACACTTTTAAACATGTATATTTTTTCATGGATGTAACTGAAAGGCAGCTGTAGATTAAAGCACTGAATGTGTTTGTTGGCAAAAGTGATTTTGCTATGTAACACTGGAAGACAATTGAGTTTTAAATGTAACTTACACATGAAATTTAGTATCAGTCTCCAAAGGGAGTGTCTAAGCCCTGCTTGGAAGAAGACTATATATAATATATGTTTGCTAGAAATACTAGTTGTGTTACTGATAATTATCATATTGTTTTACATATTTGAGTTTATACCTATTAACTCATTTACGTGTTCTATTTTCCCATTTCTTTTTCTTTTTTTTTCATTCTTTTGAACTAATTTTATTTTAATATTTTTCTCCTGGTTTGGAATAATGAACAATTTTTCTAGTTTGAATGGTTATCTCAAGAACTGCAGTATAAATAATTAACTTAGTAATTATTAGTAACTTAGGCCTAAAACTAATCAATATCTGTAAAATAATAGGACTTTTGTCTTTATATAATAATACAAGGACATTGTCTTTCAACCCCTTCTGATATGCTATTGTTGCTTTATATTTTAGTTTTGCTTTTCAATTTACATAGGACAATCTAATTTTATGTTACCCTCAATATTTCTTTGGATTCTTGAACACATCTATATTTTTGTTCTCTATTCCTATTCTATCTAAAATCTTCCATTTTAAAATACTTCTCTGTGTTCTGAAATAGCATCTCTTAGAATTTCCTTTTTGAAGATACCATAATGCAAATACCCTAAGCTTGATCTAAAAGTATTTTTCATTCTTAAAAGATCTTTTATATGTCTAAAATTAAAGCTGGGCAGTTTATTTTCTCTAAAAATATGGAAGATGATATTTCATTCTCATTTGGCATTTTATGCTGCCATGAAATGGAATTGTCCTTTTAATGGCTGTTCCTTCTTTGGTAGTCAGCCTTATCTCTCAGGGTGTCTTTATGATCTTTTCTTTTTTATCTGTGCTTTTTTACTTTACTATTTCCAAATGTATATTTCTTTTCACTTATCTTGATTGTGATTGATTGAGATTTTAAAATCTGTTGAGTAGTATATGTATCAGAAAACTTTTACTGGGCCACCTCAGAATCTCTCGGCTTCTGTCCGTGAGATCCTCAGTAATTTTGTTTTCACTGCAGTAACTGATATATATTTCAACTCTAGGTGATCTCCACCTATGTGTATAAACCCCACAGTTCCTTGCCTTGCACATGTCATATCTTCTGCCTCCTAAGCTCTAAAATTCCCTGGTTCTATTCAGCACCCTAATGCACAGTTAGTGCTTCAAAGGAGTGAGTTTGGCTAATGGGTGTAGGAGAAAATACGTTTTTCTTTCTAACAACACCAGTTAGGACAGTTGTTAATAAATTCACCTTTAACAATAGTTACTTTCAATAGGACTTTAGAGTGGAATAATTCAATGGACTGATGGTAATGTGGACACCATTGGCTTATAGAGGTGAGATGGTGATAATCTCTGTCATAAAGTGGCAATAAAGCTACTGAGGCTTTAACATGTTTAATTGGGAGAGGGTGCAGGCAGAAGCTGAAGTGTTGGAAAGAGCAGTGGTTGTTGCAGTTGACTTGTGTGATGGCAATGATAATTATATGGATTTTAGAGATGGTTGGCTTCTGTAAACGACATTGAAATTTTTGCAAAACGACAAGGTTGGCTTGGAAAAGCCACTGGGCAACTCATTTCATACTGTGAAAAGTCAGTAGCTTTGAATTGAAATGCAATGACAATTGAAATGACATTGAAATTTTTGCAAAATGACAAGGTGGGCTTAGAAAAGCCACTGGGCAACTCATTTCATACTGTGAAAAGTCAATAGTTCTTATCCATGGATTTTAGGGGCAGACTCTAATATATTGTCTCTTATAGCCACAGAAAAGACTGCACTGAAAATTTAGTCCAGGATCCGACAGGGCTATAAAGGAACCTAATTACAAATGGTTCCAAGAAGGATTGTACCACTAGAATAAATAGTAATTTTTTAAAAAATCACATTCTGGAAAGAGTTGCAGAAGTTAATGCAACTTAACTTATTAAAAGACTTAAAAAATAGGTTGTCTCGCCTCTCTTTTGAAAACCAGATGGATTGCGGCAGATGACAATGGGCTATGATAATCCTAAACCACCATGCTGGATGTTGTGTGTTTACCAGAGCAGATCAACACAGCCTTTATCATTTGTAATGTCATTATTGATCTAACACATGTATTCTCTTCAGTCCCCATCAATAAAAACAATAAAAACCTGTTTGTCTTTACAGGACAATGCACATTATCTGTATTGCCCCAGGACAATATTTATTCTCCTGCTCTTTACCATAAATTAGTCTGCTGGGCACATTATTATCTTGCATTCCACAGAATATTGTACTATTGAATTGGTGATACTTTACTAATTGTAATTATATTGGGCTGGAAGTAACAAGTATCCTGGAGGCTCTGTTTAGGCAAATGTTTCCCAAAGAGGAGATGAAAACTGGTGAAGAGTCAAGTTCTTTTACATCCACGAAGATGCTTGTGGTCCAGTGGTCTGGAGTGTGCTTTCTAATTTTAGGGGCAAGTTGTTGCACCTCACATTTATCATCTCTAAAAAACAGGCAGAGCACATGAGCACCCATGTGCTGATTTTTCTAGGGATGAAGGTAAGATTCAGGCAAAGTACCCTTCTAAATATAATTCTGCTAAAGTTATAAATGGAGCAAAGAATTTTGATAAAAACCTGGCGTATACAATGAAGTAGTTTACCTTTTTGAAAGGACAGAAGAATGGTCCTTAGCAGCCCAAGAACTAGTTTTCCATAGCTATCACAGTTCACACATTATTGGTTCAATTTCATGAAACACTCTGACATTTTGGTTAAAGTAAAAACAACATTTTCACACCATGGTAATATAAAAATTCTAACTCTAATAAACCTTACCATTAAAATAAAAACAATTGTTTTTACATAACTGTTTTATCTGTGGAAAAGTGAGTTATATATATATATATATATATCTGATATGTTCCCAAGGGATTTCTGTCAAAGTCATGCTATAACATTTTGGGCAAAACATGGATAAGTATTTATTGAAAAGAAAATTTTCAACTGAATCATGATTTCTAGTGTTCAAATATTGTCATCACAAATCAAAAGAAAATAACATTATATACTATACTTAATAAAATAGCTTAATAGAATATGAATTTCCAAATATTTCCTTATAGTCTTCTTTGACAGGAATGCATCAACTTGACATTATTTTATAATTAATTTTTGAGATTGCCTATTATAGGACAAGTATTTTATTACTGACTTTTCTTGTTGAGATTCATTGGAATTGGAAAACTTAAATAGGAAAATAATACATAATTCAAGTTATTTTTTCTTCGAAGTTTCTCAAATTAATTGGGGGTAATTATGAAATAATTATGATACTTTAGAAAATAATGATGTCTCTGAATGAAGAATAAATAGATTAAGATGGTAGAAGTGGGAACAGTCAGATCTGTTAGAAGGCATTGAAGTAGTTTATGTAGCAGGTGAAGTACTTTGAAAATGATATAAACAAGGACAGTGGTATGAAATGAACAGAAGTGCATGAATTTAGCATGTTTTCTGGATTTTAAGCTTCTAGAAATTGCTGATGAATTCAATCTGTGAGAGAGGTGAAGGTGAAAAAATATCAGGGATAATTAATGATCTAATATGTAGTAAAGTATTATGTAATTATTGGGGGGACAACCTTGGGAAAATAACAGCATTACAAAAGTAGAAACCAAAATTTTTCTTTGAATATGTAAAGTTTGAGATACAGAGCGGTTATTTGAGTGGTTATATCAAGAGAGTGCTAAAAATATCTGCCACTTAAATTATGAGTCAGATCTGGCTGCAGAAATGTGTGAGTTGCCAATGTACAAATGTTTGTACACTGTACAATGTACAAATAACTTAGTTATTTTCTGATAGTGAAGGATTGTGGATAGAGAGGCAGAGATTAAGACTGAACTTAAGGATACCCCAACATTGTAATTCAGAAAAAAGAACAAAATGCATTAAAGAAGACTAAGAAGGGCCCAGGAGATCAGAAAGAAACCCAGATAATGTGGTTTCAGAAAACAAAGAGAGCAAATTTGAAAAGTAAGAAGTGGAGGCAAGAGGCAGAATGAGATGGTTGATATGGTTTGGCCCTGTGTCCCCATCCAAATCTCATCTCAAATTGTAATCCCCATATGTTATAGGAAGGGCATGGTGGGAGGTGATCGGATCACGAGGGCAGATTTCCCTCTTGCTGTTCTCATGATAGTGAGTGAGTTCTGACAAGATCTGATACTTTAAAAGTGAAGCACTTCCCCCTTCACTCTCTTGCTTCCCCTTCGCCTTCCACCATGATTGTAAGCCTCCTGAGGCCTCCCCAGCAATGCAGAACTGTGAGTCAACTAAATCTCTTTTCTTTATAAATTACTTAGTCTCAGGTATGTCTTTATAGCAGTGTGGGAAGAGACTAACGCAATGGCTGAATAGAAGCCTCCATCAATTGTCCTCCCCACCAGAACACCAAATTTAACATCTATCTACACAAGAAAACACCTTCATGAGAACCAAAAATCAGGTAAGCAATCACAGCACCTGGGTGTAACTTCATATTGCTTAAAGAGGTACTGAAAAGGGTAGGAAAGACAGTCTTGAATTGCTGACATCACCCTTTCCCCATCCCTAGGCAGTGGCCACATGGTGCTGACAGAAATTCTGTGCACCTGTGGGACATTGCGTGGGAATACAGTGCTGCTAATACAGAGGCCCACAGTGCTGGGCAGAACTCAGCTGATGCCCATGGAGGGAACATTTAGAACAGCCCTATCAAGAGGAGAATTGCTCATCCCAGTAGTCAGAACTTCAGTATCAGCAACGCTGGCCACCATGGGCTAAATTAGTCTGGGCTCTAAATAAACTTGAAAGGGAGTCTAGGCCACAGGGACTGCAACTCCTAGGCATGTCCTAGTGCTGTGCTGTGCTTGGAGCCAGTGGACTTGGGAGTCACATGATCTAGTGAGACACAGCAAGGGTGGCCAGGGGAGTGCTTGTACCACCCCTTCCTCAACCCAAGGCACCACAGCTTACAGCTCCAAAGGAGAGTCCTTCCTTCTGCTTGAGGAAAGGTGAGATAAAATTAAGGAGGATTTTGTTTTGCCGCTTGAATACCAGTTCAGCCACACTAGAATAGGGTACAAAGCAGAGTTGCGAGGCCCACATCCCAGCCCCTAGCTTCTGGACAGTATTTTTAGATACACCTTGGGCCAGAAGGGAACCCACTGCCCTGATGGGAAGAACACAGTCCTAGCAGGATTTATCACTTGCTGACTACAAGCTGACTAAAGAGTCTTTGGGCCTTATGTGAACACTGACAATACCCTGGCAGGACTCCACAAAGGCCTGTGGTGGTTGGACATGGAAAACACTCCTCTGCCTGGGGAAAGGAGATGGGAGAGTGGGAAGGACTTTGTCTTGTTGTTTTGGTGCCAGCTCAGATGCACTAGAATAGAGTACCAGGTAGATTTCTAAGGTTTCTGACTCCAGACCCTGGCTCCCAGAGAGCATCTCTGGACCTGCCTGTAGACCCCTCTCTTCAAAAGAAGAGAACAAGACTGGCTAATGATAGAGCCTGCTGATTATATAGCCCTAGGACCTTAAGCAAACATAGGCGGTGGCCAGGTAATAGTTACAGTGAGCTTGGGGTGAGATCCAGTTCTGTGCAGGCTTCAGGTCTGACCGAGTGCAGCCCCAGTGGTGGTGACCACTGGGGTGGTTGTGTCAACCCTCCGGCATCTCCAGGCGCTCAGCTCACAGAAACTCTGTTTGGGAGGAGGTAGGAAAGAGAACAAGAGTCTCTGTCTGGTAATCCAGGGAATTCTTCTGGATTTTATCCAAGACCACCAAGGCAATACCTCTACAATCCGCAAGAACCACAGCATTGCCTACTGTGGGGTATCCCTTAATGCAGATAAGGCTGCAGTGACCAAAAACTGAGATCACAACCCCCAAGTTCCTTCAAATACCTGGGAAGCCTTCCCAAGAAGAATGGGTACAAACAAGCCCAGACTGCAAAGACTACAATAAATACCTAGCTTTTCAATGCCCACACACCAACGAACATCCACAAACATCAAGACTATCCAGGAAAACATGACCTCACCAAATGAAGTAAATAAGGCACGAGGGACCAATCCTGGAGAAGCAGAAATGTGTGACCTTTCAGAGAGAGAATTCAAAATAGGTGTGCTGAGGAAGCTCAAAGAAATTCAAGATAACACAGAGAAGGAATTCAGAATTCTATTAGAAAAATTTTATAAAGAGATTGAAATAATTAGAAAGAACCAAACAAAAATTCTGGAGTTGAAAATGCAATCGATGGCCAGGCACAGTGCCTCATGCCTACAATCCCAACACTTTGGAAGCCCAAGGCAGATGAATTGCTTGAGCACAGAAGTTTGAGAACAACCTGGGCAACATGGTGAAGCTCTATCTCTACAAAAAAAATATAAAAAATTAGCCGAGTGTGGTGGTACACGCCTGCAGTCCCAGCTACTTGGGAGGCTGAGCTGGGAGGATCACTTGAGCCTGGGAGGTAGAGGCTGCAATAAGCCTCATCATGCCACTGCACTCCAGCCTGGGTGAGACAGTAAGACCATTTCTCAAAGAAAAAAACTTAAAAAAGAAAGAAAATGCAACTGACATGCTGAAGAATGCATCAGATTCTCTTAATAGCAAAATTGATCAAGCAGAAGAAATAAGTGATCTTGAAGATACACTATATGAAAATACACAGTTGGAGAAGACAAAACAAAAAATAATACAATGGAATAAAGCACACCTTGAAAATCTAGAAAATAGCCTCAAAGGGGCAAATTTAAGAGTTATTGGCCTTAAAGAGGAGGTAGAGAGAGCTAAAACTTATATTCAAAAGGACAATAACAGAGAACTTCTCAACCCTAGAGAAAAATAACAGTGTTCAAGTACAGGAAGGTTAAAGAACACCTAGCAAATTTAACACAAAGAAAACTACCTGAAGGCATTTAATAATCAAATCCCCAAAGGATGAAGGATGGATCCTCAAAGCAGCAAGAGAAAAGAAATAAATAACATAAAATGGGGCTTCAATACAACCTACAGCAGACTTTTCAGTGAAAACCTTACAGGCCAGGAGAGAGAGTAATGACATAAAGTTCTGAAGGAAAAAACGGTTACCCTAGAATTTGTATATCTGGGAAAAATATCCTTAAAACATGAAGGTGAAATAAACACTTTACAAAACAAATAAAAGCTAAGAGATTTGATCAACACCAGATCTGTCCTACAAAAATATGCTAAAGAGACTTATTCAATCCGAAGAAAAAGATGTGAATGAGCAATAAGAAATCTTCTGAAGGTGCAAAACTATCTGTGAATAGTGAGTATACAGAAAACACAAAATATTATAAAGATGTAAGTGTGGTGTATAAATTACTCCTATCTTAAGTAGAAAGATGAAAAGATGAATTCATTAAAAATAATAACTACAATTTCCAATGCATAGACAGCATAGTAATATATAAATAAAAACAACAAAAATATAAAAAGTGAGGAGACAAACTTAAAGTGTAGAGGTTTTATTAGTTTTCTCTTTGCTTATATGGTAATTTGTGCAATCACTATTACGTTGCCTCATTTTAAAATAATGGGCTATAAGATAAGTGCAAGCTTCAAATCTAAAAACATGCAATAGATACACAAAAAATAAAAAGTCAGAAGTTAAAACACACCAGCAGAGAAAAATGCCTCCCCTAAAAGGAAGACAGGAAAAAAAATACAAACATAAAAGGAAGACAGGAAGGAAGGAAGGAAGGAAGGAAGGAAAGAAGGAAAGAAAGATGGAAGAGAAGATTAAAAAACAACCAGAAAACAAATAACAAAACGACAGGAGTAAGTCCCTACTTATCAATAATAACGATTAATAAAAACTGACTAAATTCTCAAATCACAAGACATTGAGTGGCCAAATGGAAAAGTGATCTCTTGCCTACAACGACCACACTTCAGCTATAAAGACATACATAGACTGAAAATAAACAAATTGAGAAACATTCCATGCCAATAGAAAACAAAAAGTAGTAGGAGTAGCTATGCTTATTTTACACAAAATAGATCTCAAGATAAAAAGTATAAGATGAGACAAATAGGTCACTATAAAATGATGAAGGGGTCAATTCAGCAGGAGGATATAATTATGAATATATATGCACCAACACTGATGCACAAGTATACCATTGTACCATTTTCTCCACATTCTCAACACTTGTTATCTTTTGTGTCTTTGATAACAGCCATGCTAAAACATGTGAGGAGATATCTCAGTGTGGCTTTGAGTTGCATTTCCCTGATGATTGGTGATGTTTAGCATCTTTTAAAATACCTTTTGACTATTCTTATGTTTTCTTTTGTTTATTAGTTGTTTTTAGGTAAATGCATACTTGATATACAGTTCCCTCCTAGTTATCTACTCAAGAGAAATAAAAACGTATGCCCACACAAAGACTGGTCTTTATTTCAAAGCAGTATTATTCATAATTGCCTCAAACTGGTGAGTAGATAAGTAAACTTTGATGTATCCATACAAAGGAACACTACTCAACAGTTACATGGAACAAACTACTAATACACACCACAACATAGATGAATCTCAAAAACATGATGCTAAGTAAAATAAGCCAAGCCCAAAAAGACTAGATACTGTATATTCTCCTTAATATGAAATGCTAGAAAAGACCAAACTATAATCACATTAAACAAAGTAGCATTTGGGATCAAAAGAGGCTACAGATAATTGACTGCAAAGGGGCATGAGGGAAGTTTCTAAGATGATGAAAATATTCTAAATCTTGATTGTGGTCATGATAACATGACTGCACACATTTGTCAATCTCACTAAACTGTGTACTTAGAAAGGATAATTTATTCCATAGAAATTCAATTTGATAAAGTTGATAAAGATAGATTATCAGCATAGCATTTTCCCTTTACAAATTTTGCCACTTATTTTCTTCTGGATCTATTTACTTTCTTTTGTGCTAAACTGAGTGATATAGTTTGGCTGTATCTCCACAAAAATCTCATCTTGAATTGTAATTCCCACAATTCCCACATGTACTGGGAAGGACCCAGTGGGAGGTAATTGAATCATGGGGGCGGGTCTTTCTTATGATAGTGAATAAGTCTCAAGAGAGCTCCTCAAGCTCTCTCTCTTTGCCTGCCACCATCCGTGTAAGACCTGACTTGCTCTTCCTTGCCTTCCACCATATGAGGCCTCCCCAGCCATGAGGAACTGTAAGTCCATTAAATCTCTTTTTCTTCCCAGTCTCAGGTATGTCTTTATCAGATGCATGAAAATGGACTAATATGCTGTGGAACAAGCAAATTAGACAATTTGCCTTTGACAATTAAAAGTCTGGTGATGATAGGCCGGGCGCGGTGGCTCATGCTTGTAATCCCAGCACTTTGGAAGGCTGAGGCGGGCGGATCACGAGGTCAGGAGATCGAGACCATCCTGGATAACAGGTTGAAACCCCATCTCTACTAAAAATACAAAAATTAGCCGGGCGTGGTGGTGGGTGCCTGTAGTCTCAGCTACTCGGGAGGCTGAGGCGGGAGAATGGCGAGTGAACCCGGGAGGCGGAGCTTGCAGTGAGCCGAGATCACGCTACTGCACTCCAGCCTGGGCGACAGAGTGAGACTCTGTCTCAAAAAAGAAATAAAAATTAAAAAAAACAAAAAAACTCTGGTGATGATAATAAAGTGTACAATTTCATGGGTCCCTACAAAATAGTAAGGGCACAGAGGACAAAGTAAGAGGTAGGAATCCAATAGTGGGAGTGCATTTATATATGAAGCCTGTAATATATTAAGTAATGCAAGGCCCTTAACTTGCTCTATTTTTTTAATCAAGTGAGTGGAGAAATAATTGTGGTGGGTAAAAGAATCTCAAGAAGATACACTCAGAGTGAGTTTTAAAATGTCACTAGCAGACAAAACAGGTGGGATTCCTTGGGATGATCATTCTAAATACATGAGTATATTGCAGACAATGGCTTTGGGGGAAGCAGGATTAATTTAGCTTATTTAAAGCTTAAGAAAAATGCTTAAGGGGAAAGTAAAAAGAATGACAGTATTACTGGTAAATGACTCAGATTAAGAAGGGCAGTCATGCATCTATGTTCATTACTAATTTGGAATTGACAGTGGCATTGGAATTAGATAGTAATAGCTTTGAATTTTTAGATTGTTTTGAACAGTATATTTATTTTAATAATATTGATTCTTCCTATCCATGAGCATGGGATGTTTTTCCATTTGTCTGTGTCATTTACAATTTTTTAAATCAGTGTTTGTAGCTTTCCATGTAGAAGTTTTTCACCTCCTTGGTTAAATGAATTGCTTGGTAATTTTATTGTGGCTATTTTAAATGGGATTGTATTCTTGATTTGGTTCTCAGCTTGAGCATTTTTGGTGCATATAAATACAGCTGATTTCTGTGCATTAATTTTGTATTCTGAAAGTTTACTGAAATTGTTCGTCAGGTCTGGGAGGCTTTTGGAGAAATTTGTAAAGTTTTCTAGGTAGATCTAGTCATCAGTAAACAGAGATAATTTGACTTCCTCTTTTCCAGTTTGGATGCCTTTTATTTTTACCTCTTGCCTGATTGCTCCGGTTAATACTTTCGATATTATGTTGACTAGGAGTGGTGAGACTGAACATCTTTTTCTTGTTCCAATTCTTAGAGAAAATGCTTTTGACATTTTCCCATTAACTGTGATACTGGCTGTGGGTTTGTCATATACAGCTTTTATTATTTTGAGTTATGTTTCTTCAATGCCTAGTTTGTTGAAGGTTTTTATCATGAAAGGATGTTGGATTTTATCAAATGTGTCTTTTTCTGTGTCTATTAAGATAATCATATGGTTTTTGTTTTTAATTCTGTTTAGTGGTGTATCAGATTTATTAATCTGTATTAAAACACCCCTGCATCCCCAGAATAAAACGCACTTGATTATGATGAATTATGTTTTTGAAGTGCAGCTGGATTCAGTTTGCTAGTATTTTGTTGAAAATTTTTGGAGGTTGTTCATCTGGGATTTCTGCCTGAGGTTTCCTCTTTTTTTTCTTGGGTCTTTGCCAGATTTTGGTATCAGGAAGTCCCTCTTTGCCAATTTTTTTGAACCCTTGCAGTAAGATGGGTACTAGACCTTTCTTGCATAGCTGGTAGAAGTCAGGTGTGAGTCTATCTAATACAGGGCTCTTTTAGTGAGTAGATTTGTTATTACTGATTCAACTTCATAGCTCATTATTGTTATGTTCAGGATTTAAATTTCTTCCTGATTCAATCATGGGAGGTTGTATCTAGCAATTTATCCTTTTTCTCCTGGTTTTCTAGTTAGTGAACATAGAGATGTTCATAATGGTCAATGATAATCTTACATATATGCCTGTGGTATCAGTTGTAACATCATGGGTATCATTTCTGGTGCAGCTTATTAAAATATTCTCTCTTTTCTTCTTCATTAATCTAGGCAGTGGTCCATCAATTTTATTTCTTCTTAGGCACGCTGGCTCCTGTTTCTTCCTTCATAGCCACTCATGAATGCCCACCTCAAGACTTTTGCATTTGTTCTCCCTCTACCTGAGAGATTCTTCCCCAGGTCTTCTTGTTGGCTGACTACATCTCCTCTTTCAGATCACCCAATTCCACCACCTTTTCAAAAAACCAACTTTACATTTTGTTGATACATCATATGATTTATTTGGTTCCGATTTCATTAAGTTCTGCCCTGATCTTTGTTATTTATTTTCTTGTGTTACCTTTGGCTTTGGTTTGTTCTTGTTTCTCTAGTTCCTTGAAGTGCAATGTTAATTTTTTTGTGTTAATGTGAGATCTTTCCAGCTTCTTAATATAGACATTTAGCACTATACACATTCCTCTTAACGTTGCTTTCGCTGTATCCCAGGGGTTACTGTGTAGATGCTGTGTATATATTTTCATTTGTTTCAATTTTTTTTTCTGATTTCTGCCTTAATTTTGTTGTTTACCCAAAAATCAGTCAGGAGCAACCTGTTTATTTTCCATGTCCTTGTGTAGTTTTGAGAGTTCCTCTTTGTATTGATTTCTATTTTTTACACTGTTGTCTAAGAAAATACTTGATATGATTTTGATTCCTTTGAATTTATTGAGACTTGCTTTGTGACCAAGTATATGGTCAATTTTGGAGAATGTTTCATGCACAGATGAGAAAAATGTATATTCTGCAGTTGGTGAGTAGAATGTTCTATAGATATATATTAGGTCAATTTGCTCAAGAGTTTAATTTATATCCGGAGTTTCTTTGTTAGTTTTCTACTTCAAAGATCTGTTTAGTGTTGTCACTGGGGTGTTGAATTCCCACACTATAGTATATAGCTATCTATCTCTTTTTCTTAGGTCTAGTACTGTTTCTTTAATAAATCTGTGTGCTCTGGTGATGGCTGTGTATATATTTAAGATAGTTAAATGTTCTTGTTGAATTAACCCCTTTATCATTATATAATGCCCTTCTTTAATTTGTTTTGTTACGTTTTGTTTTGTTTTGTTTTACTGTTGTTGATTTAAAGTATGTTTTATATAGTAAAACAATAACAATGCCTGGTCTTTTTGGTTTTCCATTTGCATAACATATTTTTCTCTTACTTTGAGCCTGTGGGTGTCATTATTCATTAAGGGTCCTTTGAGGGCAGCAGATGGTTGGGTTTTTATTTTTATCCAATTTGCCAATCTACATCTTTTAAGTGGAGCATTTAGGCCATTTACATTCAAAGTTAATATTGACATGTGAGGTTTTGTTCCTGTCATAGTGTTTTTAGGTAGTTGCTTTGTAGTCTCAATAGTGTATTTGCTTTATAGGGTATGTGTACTTTGTATTTATGAGTGCTTTTATTGTAGCAAGTATCATCTTTTCACTTCCATATTTAGAACTACTCTGAGCATTTTTTGTAGGACCAGTCTCGTTGTGACAATTGCCCTTAGCATTTCCTTGTGTGGGAATGACTTGATTACTCATTTATTTATTAAGCATAGTTTGGCAGGATATAAAATTTTGGCTGGAATTATTTTTCTTTAAGGAGGCTAAAAGTAGGCTCACAATCTCTTCTGGCATGTAAGGTTTCTGCTGAGAAATCCACTGTTAGTTTGATGGGTGTACCTTTATAGGTGATTTGACCCTTTTATCTAACTGCCTTTAAGAATTTTTTTTTTTTTTTAGTGTTGACTTTGATAGTCTGATGACCATATGTCTTGGTGAAGTTTTTCTTGTACATTATCTTACAGGTGTTCTCTAAATTTCTTGTATCTGGGTGTCTACCTCTCTGGGAAGACTAGGGAAATTTTCCTGAATTATTCTCTCAAATACACATTTTTTCAATTTGCTTACTTTTTCTTCTCTCTCAAGAATGCTTTATAAGCTTTGGTCAACTTAGGTAATCCCATATTTCTCTAAAGTTTTATTTATTTAAAAACAATTTTTTTCTTTATTTTTGTCTGACTAGGTTAATTCAAAAAACAGATCTTCAAGGTCTGAAAATTTTTCTTCTGCTTGGTCTAGTCTTAGTAAAGCTTCCAACTATATTTTGAAATTTCTTTAGTAAATTTTCCAATTCCAGAATTTCTACTTGTTTTTCAATTAAATATAGCAATCTCTTCTTTTATATCCTGAATCATTTTTCCGGTTTCTTTGCTTTGATTTTCAATTTTTTCTTGAATCTCATTGTGCTTCCTATTGGATTCTGTATCTGTCATTTTAGAATTTTCATTTTGGTTAGGATCCTTTGTTGAAGAATTAGTGTCTTCCTTCAGAGATGTCAACACTCAGGTTTTTTGTTCTGCTAGTGTCTTCACACTGATTCCTTCTCATCTGAAGCAGCAGTTGCTTTTATTTTTTGTGTAATTTGCTATCATTTGAATGGAATTTTTATGTCTTATTCTTTTTTCCCTTGAGGATATGACTGTGATGTGTATTGCATATGATTATTTGGCTTCATTTTTGGGTGCTTTCAGGGGGCCAAGTCTCTATATAGGTTTCTTGGTTGTGGATACCCTCTCTGTTGTGGTTTTCTCACATGCTGCTCGCTGTAGTGATGTATTGGACATATGAGCTGATACACTATCTTCCACAGGGCTGAGAGTACACAGGTCTCATAAAACTTATCTCATTCACTAGCACTGGGCCCTTCAGACAGCAGCTTTTTATTTGGTGGTACAGTTCAGTATTCCACGCAGTAAGTTTCACTTAAGAGTAAGAGCCACCCACTCTCCAGGACCCTGATAATTGAGGGGAGGAACTACCCTAATAAGAGAAGGAGGGAATCAGCATGTTGGGGTATGCTGAGATCTCGGGGTCAGGGTTGAGGTGTTGCACTAGCTACTTATCCTGGGCAAGGAGGAACATGCTCTGCTTTCATATCAGGGCCCCGTTGCAGGGTTTGTGACCTTTAGTTCATATAATCATTAACTTCTGCCTCCTTTCTGTAGCCAAGAACCAAAGAAATGCCCTTCTGGTGGCTACTACAAAACAGGGTTCGGGGCTAAGTCCTGGGTCCAGAGCAGACAGACAGCTCTGTGATTTGTCTGCCCTTTATTGACAGAATGCTACTGCCTTATGTAAAGAGCAGGAGATGGGTCCTATCCTTCGCTCTGTTGTGTCTGCAACAGTGGATGGGGGCAACAGGAGATAACCTCTTTCTCATTTCTATTTCTAGCAGTCAATGCCACCCCCTTCATCAATTGACTCCATGTCCATGTTTCCTTTGTCCCAAGGGCAGGTTGGAGGGCTGTGCTCCCCTCTTACCTAAGGGCAGCCCACACTGAGGGCTAGATCTTTAAGGAACCCACAGCTCCTCAAGGATCTGCTGGTACCATATGGTTGCCAAAGACCAAGCAGGTCATGGGCTATATTTGTGGGGTATCTGGTGATGTGGCGACCTAAGGGCTGAAGTCCCCTGGGGAGAACAGTGCATGTAAAACCAGTGTGGCACCTACCATTTCAATTTGGGTCTGAGGGGATTATGGGCATACCTGCATGAACTGACCACCCAATTTATTGTCCTTAGCAAGGTCCCAAATCACCACTGACATCCTTGTCTGGATTGTGAGGGCAGAGGGGCTCCCCAACACTTCGGAGAACATCAGATTGTCACACAGGTGAGGAGACAAGAGAAGCCATGACTTACCCTTTTCGTGGTCCAGGTTTCTAGGGAGACAATCTCTGTCAGTCTCTTGCTGCTTTCCTCTTTTGTGCCCCAGGTTCTTCCCATGGGTGCTCCAACAGGTCCTTGCTTCATTCCCTCAGATTTCCATTTAAATCATGGGCATTCACCTGTAACTTTGATCTTTCTGAGGAGACCTGGCATCCAACATCCCTAGTCAGCCAACTTGAAAAAAAAAAGAGAAAAAAAACTGTGAAAACTTTTAAGGTAAAAGTAAGTTCGTGATTAGCATTCTTTGTATTGGTTTTCATTTATTCTGAAATTAGTTTTAAAGCAACCGTTACACATACACACAAATAAAAAAATGTTTAACAGTGACAATCAGTGTAACATACTTTGGAAGTATTTCCCTTCCAATGACACAGCATGGATTTATTCAATGTTATTTGAGAAGATCCTTGAGAGTTTTATAATTTAAGTTTCAAGTAGGAATTATACTCTGTGTCTCTCGGCAATATTCATAACAGGTCTTACTACAGAATGTCATTCAGTAAAATACTCTGTGCATGAGTTTGAATGTAATAATTTTACTAATAAAAAATCAGTGCAATAAATCTACTGATTCAGCATTAAAATTTACCTCAAAAAAAGAAATAATTTGTCTTGTCAAAATACCGTTTCACCACTAACTAGACACTTTTTCAAAGTTTCACTTTTCTAAAGGATTAGATATGGATCTCATCCCATAGGATAATCAGAAAGCTTGATAAATCAGTGTTGTTTATATTCAAAGTATATTTGAGACTTCAGAGTTTATCAACTGCATAAGAGAATTAAATGAATAATTTTTCAGTTGATGTTAACATAATTTGTGGAAATCATCCTGTGTTCATATCATATGCAGTTTTTTAGGGGGTGGGGTTAATATTAATTAAACTGTATATGTAAAATTTGGGCTACATGCATTATCTCATTCAATCCCGACAACATCCGCATCAAATAAATATATTTTTCTTCTTTTCATGGATGTAGAAACTGGAATTTAAATAGGCTAATTAGTTAACTATCTTGGTTTATTAAATACTTAATTTGTGCCAGGAGCTTTCCTAAGCATTTTATACATGTTACCTAATGTTATGGCTACAACTAGTTAGGGAAATACACATACAGAGAGAGAGATAAACACACAGGGGGAAAATACATTTTACATCAGAGAGTTACCTGACCAAGTACTACACTTCTTTTGCTTTTCTCTAAGACCAACCCAATGCTAATTCCTTGACTTATCTATTTTTATTTACTAATGTGAAGCAGAGATTAGGTGTTCAATAATTTTGTTTTGAAAATATGACAAATGAATAGGAGAATGATAGAGATCTCAATTTATTTGAGATATCCCTATGTTTTACAATCAAAACTGAGTAAAGAGGTTTCCAAATTATGAACTATTTAATCAAAAAGTTATTTTTGAATTTTAATTTATGTGTGAGTACATATCTTTATCTGTTTTGGTTTACTCGTGTCTGCTTCCCCTGACACCATGATTTATAGATATAAGTGAAAGTAAGATATGAGTTATTATATGTGCACACTGAGATTGTGCAAATTGCATGTAGCTATGGATTAATATAGTTAGAGGTACGGAATTTTCTGTTCTTTTTGTACTCTACTGACAGATGGACCCACTGTTTTGCTGGAAAGTGGAGCCAATTTGTCTGGCTTTGAAGAAAACAGGAGAAAAGAGGATATACTGGGGACACTTTAATGACGGAGAAAGAGCAAGCCATTGGCCCAGCTAATAAAAGTTATTGCTAATATTTGTTTATCATGTATTAGATGCAAGTTTATACTGTTTATCACCATTTGATGTTTAAGTTTTGTTTACTGGAACTCAAAATTGAGGTGGAAGTAATGCTTTCTGAAAAAAATGAATTTAAAATGTTTACATCGTGGAAAGAAAAAGAACTCTGCGGACCTATCAGTTTGTTGGGGCTGCCATTTGAAAGTAAACCAATTCAGGTTGCTTGAACAACAGAAATTTACTTCCTCATAAATCTGGAGGCCAGAAGTCCAAGAGCAAGGTGCCAGCAGGGTTGGTTTTTCAGAGACCTCTCTTCTTGGCTTGTAAATGGCTGTCTTCTCCTTGTGCCTTTACATGGTCTTTCTTCTGTCTGTGTCTTAATCTTTTTTCTTCTAAGAATATCAGTCCTATTGGATTAGGCCCACATCAGTGACCTCATTTTACTTTAATCACCTTTTAAAAAATCTTGTCTTTAAATGAGGAGCTGAATGTTAGAAACTCAATATATGAATTTGGGGAAGGGGACAATTCAGCTTATAATAGGAGATGGTGTAAAGGTAAAGAATCACCTGGCTAAGTCATCTGCATTGTAGTACTCATCTTTTGATGTAGACAGGTACCTCAGTCTTAGTACTGTGGAGGGCATGGGAGAGGTAATTTCATAGCATCCTGTCTCTGCAAATCCCTCTTGAGAAAACTGTAGAGAAATATATTCAATTTAGGGAGAAAATTGACAATACATTATATTATTATTAATTCTAATAAAATAGGACATAGAAATGCATAAAATATTTAGTGAAGTATTTTAAATATATAAAAAGTAATTTATATTGTGTTTTAATCTAATCTGGCTAAAATTATTACTAAAAATATTGAAAAAATCAGTTTGAAGGAAATGTATACAGTCAACATTTTGTGACAAAAATGTTCATATCTATGTATTTTTGGACAATGACAGCTGCAATATTATCATAAATGTTTAGCAATTCCAAGCTTGAGGCAAACTCCACAGATAGAGTAACTGTAATTTATTAGGTGATGGAAAAGGAGAACATGATAGATTGACTTAATCTTTCATTCTACACTTTTCTATGTTTAAGCTCAAGAAGAATGCATCATAAATACCATATGTTTTCCTAACACCTTATACTACTAGTAGCTTTATTTTTTTTTAGTCTAATCTTTACTCTAGAGACTATTTTCAGTTGAGAATCTAATAAATATAAGTTTGAGAGGTATGTTAGCTAATTGTTCACTTTTAACTAAAACACTAGAGGGCACCCTTTCCTTCTGTTAGAACATGTCCTCCTCTTCTAAATTACATGCCGTGGAGACACAAAGGATTGCCAGGTAAAAACAATATTCATTTTATTTTGTATTTTTATGGACTTGCTTTTATATTTAACCGGTAATAATTTTGCAGATCCCAAAAGTCACAGCATATTATTTTAAATGATATTAAGATGATTTTTAACGGAAATGAATTCTAAGCCGGAAATGTCAGTGTCACAGAGCTAAAGAGTCAGATGTCTCCCTAGTGTCACGACAGTGAACAAAAATAAGTCTGTGTTTGGCATGACTTGTGGTGTTTATGTAGTATAATTTATCTTACATTTCTGTGTTTAGGATTAGGAATTATTCGTACTGAATGTGTATTCCTATTTTCTACGTTCTCAAATGAATAGCACACTACTGCTAGGTTAACCCAGTTTGAAACAAAATGCAAACAAGACTGACCTAGAGGAAAGAACAAAAGTTGAAAATTCAGTGAGGACCCACCAAATAACAATTGCCAATATTTATTTAGTGTCTGTTTTTGTCAATCACTTGTGTAAGCATTTTAATTACAATATTTAATTGATACTACATTGAGTCATTATTTACTATTTTCATTCTTATTCAATATAGAATAAAATATAGTATTATAAGAACAGATAAAATAACATGAAACATGTCTTTGAATTGTGCTTTCCCACATCAGAAACCTAGGGCAAAAGGGAGCTGCTACAGCTGCAATTTTGCCTGGGCAAGACTTGCCACCAGGGTCAGCTTGTGCTGACCTGGTCTGCATGTGCTATTACTGGGTTTACCAGCCTGCTCCCCTGAAATAGTGGTGCATCAAGATCCTCTCTGCTCTAACCTCAGGCTGAAATTCAGGCATTTGGAGCATCATTTGCCTAGACCATCAGCCTGAGGTGCCCCACTCTTCCTGGACATAAATCAAGGTATAGTGGGGCCCTCTCTGCTCCATGCTTAGACAGATCTCCAGGCATTTGAAGCAACCACTCAGCTGTATTAGCAGCCCAACTCGCCCCACCCTTCCTAGATGTAGATCGTGGTGAGTGGGATTCTCTCTGTTCCATGTCCAGGCATACCTCCAGCCATCTAGAGCACTTGCTTGCCTGGATGACAGCCTTACCTTCTCCACTCTTCCTAGACATAGATCATGGTGCAGGGAGGAACTTTCTGCTTCATGCCCAGGCAGATCTCCAGGTATTTGGAGTAATCATTCAACTGGTTCATCAGTCTCATATACCCCATTCTTCCTGGGCTTACATCATGGTGCAGTGAGGTTCTTTCTGCTCTAAGCCCAGGCAGAGATCCAGGCATTCAGAACATCTGCTCACTGGGATTGGCAGTCTCTCTCACCCTACTCTTCCTATGCAGAAATCTTCTTGCATAGAAGCCCTCTCTACTCCAACCCAGGCCCATCTCTAGGCATCTAGAGCACCTGTTTGCCTCAAATAGTGGCCTGAGCTACCCCACACTTCCTGTGCAGAAATCCTGGTGCATGGAGGGGACTCCATGCTTGATATACAGGGAGATCTCCAGGCATCTGGAGCACCCACTGTTCTAAAATTAGGAGTTTAGACCAGCCACCATCCCAATGCAGAGAACCTGGGGCCAGAAAGGCTTCCTAAATCCACATTTAGACATATTTGTGGGTGCTTGGTGGCCACCCACTGAATTCTTCCTCAGTTTTGGTGCTTATGCTGGCAATTGGGGGACCTGTAGGTGAACCTGCCTAGGCCAGCCCTGCCTATCTTGGCCCCAGTCCCCCAAGACTAAGCAGGGAGCTAAGACCACTGTGTACTTCATGAATCAGCCCATTTCCTGAGGAAACAGAGAGATTATCTCAGTAACAAGATCAAGTATATACTCAGCCACATTGGCTGCAGCTGGCTGTTACCTGTAAGTACCATCTACTGGCTTGTAGGTCAAACTGCACAGCCCAGTATAAAACCTAGTGACAGACGTGCATAGGGCTATAGAAACAAAGCCAAAAGACCCTGCTCAGTACTCTCAAGAGTCACACCCTATAGTGAAGAGGGAAAGGAAAAGAAAAAAAATATATAGGGAATAAAACAAAAATAAAATATTCACCTGTATGAAAATAATTACAAAATTGTAAATGTTAATGTCCCCAGATGAGAAGGAAACAGCACAAGAATTTGGGCACCATGAAAAATCTAAATGTAATGACACACCAAAGGATGGAAAGAGCTCTCCAGCAATGTAATCAAAATGGAAACTGAGAAATTATAGATAAAAATTTGAAGCATGGATTGCAAGGAAGCTCAAAAAGATCCAAGACAACACAAAGAAAATCAACATGATGAAACTTCTAAAGCAATCTAGTAAATGATGAAACAGATAAACATTCTAAAAGGAAATAAATCTGAGCATCTGGAATTGAAAAACTCACTTAAGGAATTTCAAAATACAATTGAGAGCTTTAGCAATTTAGACTGGACCAAGAAAAAGAAACAATTTAAGTGCTTGAAGACAAGTCTTTCTAACTAATACAGTCAGGCCAAGAAAAAGAAATAATTTAAGAGCTTGAAGACCAGTCTTTTTAACAAATATAATCAGACAAAAATTTTTAAAACAATTTTTAGAAATATACAAAGTCTTTGAGAAATTTGGGATAATTCAAAGTAAGCAAACCTAAAAATTATTTGGTATTGCCAAAAGAGAAGGAGACAAACAAATAATGTGAACAAATAATTCAAAAAAAAATTTCCTACTCTTCCTAGGGAGGTTGGTATCTAGATGCAAGAAATCCAGAGAATAACTGCAAGATAGTGTAGAAAACAAACATCACCAAAGGTATATAGTCATCAGACTCTCCAAAGTCAATGTTAAAGAAAAATTCTTAAAGGCAGCCAGGGGAAAAAGGTTAGATCATGTATAAAGGGAAGCCCAACAGGCTAACAGTGGATTTATCAGTAGATATCTTACAATCCAGGAAGGATTAGGGGTCTATTTTTACCATTCTTTAAGAAAAATTTCATCCAAGAATTTTTATATCCTACCAAACTAAACTTCATAATCAAAAGAGAAATTTGATTATTTGCTTTGTTGCTTTTCCCAACAAGCAAGGGCTAAGGGAATTAGTTACCAATAAAAAAGCCTTACAATAGATCCTTAAGGGAGTTCTAAATGTCAAAATAAAAGAATGAAACCTGCTATCACAAAACCATACTAAAAAACATAGCCCACAGACCCTATGAAGCAATGACACAGTAGAAACTACAGAGGAACCAGCTAACAACTTCATGATAGGATTAAAACTTCACATATCAATATTAACCTTGAATTTAAACAGTCTAAATGCCTCCATTTAAAAGGCACAGAGTGGCAGGATGGATACAAATACAAGACCCATCCATCTTCTATTTTCAAAAGACCTGTATCACATGGGTTGATGTAAACAGTGAGAAAAAAATCTACCACATAAAAAGAAAACAAGGCAGGGTGCGGTGGCTCACGTCTGTAATCCCAGCAGTTTGGGAGGCCAAGGAGGGTGGATCCCCTGAGGTCAGGAGTTTGAGACCAACCTGACTAACATGGTGACACCCCATCTCTACTAAAAACACAAAATTGGTTGGGTGTGGCAGGCACCTGTAATCCCAGCTACTTGGGAGTCCGACACAGGAAAATTACTTGAACCCAGGAGGTGGAGGTTACAGTGAGCTGAGACCATGCTATTGCACTCCAGCCTGGGCAACAAGAGTGAAACTCTATCTCAAAGAAAAAAGAAAAAGAAAACAAAAATGAGCAGGTGTCACTATGACTATATCATACAAAACAGACCTTAATCCAATAATAAAAAAGGATAAAGAATAGCATTACGTAATAATGAAGTGTTCAATTAACAAGATGGCTTATCTATTCTAAATATATACATGTCCAACATTGGAGCACCCAGATTTATAAAGTAATTACTTCTAAACCCACAACAAGACATACATAACTACACAATAATGGCGAGGGACTTCAGTGCCCCACTGACAGTGTTAAAGAGATCTTCAAGGCAGAAATTAACAAATAAATTTTGGACTTATATTCAACATTTGGCTAACAGAACCTAATAGACTTCTACAGAATACTTCACCTATCAGACACAGAATATAAATTCTCATCTGCACACAAAATATACTCCAAGATCAAACACATAGTTTCCCATAAAGCAAGCCTCAATAATTTCCACAAAAAAAAAAAAAAATGAAATCCATGCCATCCATACTCTTGTACCAGAGTGGAATAAGCATAGAAACCAATACCAAAAATCACAAATCTCAAAAATCACACAATTACATGGAAATTAAACAACTTTCTCCCGAATGACTTTTAGGTGAACGACAAAATAAGGCAGAAATTAAATTATTTGAAATAAATAGAGAAACAACATACCAACATCTATGGGCCGTAGCAAAAGCAGTGTTAAGAGGAAAGATTAAAGTGTAAATCACCAACCTTAAAATGTTAGAAAGATCTCAAATTAATGATCTAAAGTCACACCTACAGGAACTAGAAAAAAACAGAACAATGTAACCCCAAAGGTAGCAGAAAAAAATCACTAAAATCAGAGCAGAACTGAATGAAATTGAGACCCAAAATTTAATACAAAGGTCAGTGAAACCAAAGGTTGGTTCTTTGAAAGAATAAACAAGATCAATAGACTAATAACTAGATAAACACAAAAGAGAAAAGTTTAAAATAAGCAAAATCAGAAACAACAAAGGTGGCATTACAACCTATCTCACAGAAATACAAAATATGCTGAGACTATTATGAACACCTATATGCACAAAGACTAGAAAATATAGAGAAAATAAATTCCCAGAAACACACAACCTCCCAAGATTGAACAAGAAAGAAATTGAAACCCTAATAGACCAATATCAAGTTCTAAAATTGAAGCAGTATTTTAAAAAAATAAATCAACAAAAGCCCTGTACCAGATGGATTCACAGCCAAATTCTATCAGACATGCAAAGAAGAGCTGGTACCAATTCCGCTACAACTATTCCAAAAAATTTGAAGATGGACTGTTTCCTAAGTTATCTAAAAAGCTAGCATCACCCTGACACTAAAACCTAGCAAAGACACAGTAAAAAAAGACAACAACTGTCCAATATCCTTGATGACCAAAGATGAAAAAATACTCAACAAAATACTAGCAAACTGAATCCAACAGCACTCCTATTCAGTATAGCACTGGAAGTAGTAGCCAGAGAAATTGGTCAGAGCCATGAGGCCCCCTTTCCAGGCCCTAGTTCCTGGATAATATTTCTAGACACATCCTGACCATAACGGAACCCACTGCCTGCAGGAAGGAATCTAGACCTGGCAGGACCCATCACCTACTGACTAAAGAGCCTTTGAGCTCTGAATAATCAGCAATGATACTCATGTCATATGCTGTGGGCTTTGGGTGAGACTCCAAGACATGTAGGCTTCACGTGAGACTCGGCATAATCCCAGCTGTGTTGGCTACTAGGAGACACTCCCTCTGCTGGAGAAAAATAATGGGGACTTTGTTTTGCACCCTAGGTACCAGCTTGACCACAATAGGTCGGAACACCAAGTAGGCTCTTGGGGTCCTGAATTCAAGGCCTTGGCTCTTGGGTGGCATTTCTGAGCATTTCTGAACCTGCCCTGGGACAGAGAGGAGTCCACTGCACTGAAGGGTGAGTCCTAGGTCTGACAGCATTCATCACAAAATGACTGAAGAGCACTTGGGGCTTAAGGGAACATCTCTCATCACCTTGCAGTAATCCCCATAAGCCTGTGGTGTTGGTTACCAGAAGGTGAAGTGCCTCTCCCTGTGGAAAAAGGAGGAAAGGGTGAGAAGAATTGTGTCCCATAGTTGAGTACCAGCTCAGCTGCACTGTAAATAGAACATCAGGTAGACTTCTAAGCTGTATCACTTCAGTCCCTGGCTCCTAGAAGATAATACTGGACTCACCCAGGGCTTAAGGGAACTCATCATCCTGAAGGAAAGGATAGAAGCCTGGCTTGCTTCACTGCCTGCTGATTTACGTCACTGCCCAGTGACGTAAGCAAATACAGGCAGTAGCCAGGTAGTGGTTACAGTGGGTTTGGGGTGAGACCAAGTGCTGTGCTGCCTTCAGGTCAGACCTAACACAGTCTCAGAGGCAGAGGCTACAGAGGTGCTCATTTCATCCCACCCCAAACTCGAGATGGCTCAAAACAGAGGGACAATCCGTTTGTTTGAGAAAAAGTAAAGAAAGACAACAAGAGTTTCTGCCTGGTGATCCAGAGAATTTTTTTCAGTTTTATCCAAGACCATAAAGCCATTATGCCTATGATTCTGCAAGAACTACAGCATTACTGGGCTTGGAGTTTCCCCTAATGCAGATACTGCTTAGATCTCAATGCCAAAGTCCTTTCAAATATCTGGAAAGCCTTCCCAAAACGACGGGTACAAACTAGCTGAGTCTGCTAAGTCTACAATACATACCTAACTCTTCAATGCCCAGACACTAAAAAAATTAACAAGTATCAAAACCATCCAGAAAAACATGACTTCAACCAACAAATTATAGGAGGCACCAGGGACCAATCCTTTCAGACAGAGAATTCAAAATTACTCTTTTGAGGAAACTCAAAGAAATTCAAGATAACACAAAGAAGGAATTGAGAACCCTATCAGATACATTTAGCAAAGAAATTGAAATAATTGAAAAGAATCAAGCATAAATTATTGAGTTGATAAATATAATTGACATGCTATAGCATGCATCAGATTCTCTTAATAGCAGAATTGTTTGAGCAGAAGGAAGAATTAGTGAGCTTGAAGACAGGCTATTTAAAAATACGTAGAGGAGCCAAAACACACACACACACACACACACACACACACACACACACACACACAATGAAGCCCACCTACAAGATGTAGAAAATAGCCTCAAAAAGGCAAATCTGAGTTATTGGCCTTAAAGAGGAAGTAGAAAGAGAAGGCTAGAAAGTTTATTCAAAGAGACAATAACAGAGAAATTTCCAAACCTGGAGAAAGATATCAATATTGAAATACAAAAGGGTTATTGACCACCAAGCAGTTGGCATTTAATAATAAAATCTACCTGAAGGCATTTAATAATCAAATCCCCAAAGATCAAGAATAAAGAAAGGGTCCTAACACCAGCGAGATAAAAGAAACAAATAACATATAATAAAGCTCCAATATAACTTAAGAAGACTTTTCAGTAGAAATGTCTGAAAGTCCTTACAGGCCAAGAGAGAATGCCATGATATGTTTAAAATTCTGAAGGAAATCCACTTTTATCCTAGAATAGTACATGTGGTGAAACTTGCCTTCAAACATGAAGAAGAAATAACTTCCCCAGACAAACAAAAGCTAAGGAAATTCTTCAATATCAGGTCCATCGTATAAGGAATGCTAAAGGGAGTACTTCAATTAGAAAGAAAAGAACATTAATGAACAATAAGAAATTATCTGAAGATACAAATCTCACTGGTAATAGTAAGTACACAGATAAATACAGAATAATATAATACGTAACTCCAGTATGTAAACTACTGTTAAGTAGAAAGAATAAACATTGAACCAATCAAAAATAATAACCATAATAACTTTTCAAGGCAAAAATAGTACCATAAGATATAAGGAAAAGTGGGCTGGGCACGGTGGCTCACGTCTGTAATCTCAGCACTTTGGGAGGCCGAGGTGGGCAGATCGTGAGGTCAGGAGATCGAGGCCATCTTGGCTAACACGGTGAAACCCTGTCTCTACTAAAAATACAATAAAATTAGCCAGGCTTGGCAGACGCCTGTAGTCCCAGCTACTCGGGAGGCTGAGGAAGGAGAATGGTGTGAACCCGGCAGGCGGAGCTTGCAGTGAGCCAAGATCATGCCATTGCACTCCAGCCTGGGAGACAGAGTGAGACTCCAACTCAAAAAAAAAAAAAAAAGATATAAGTAAAAGCAACAAAAAGCTAAAAAGTGGGGGATATAGGATGTAGAATTTTTATTAGTTTTCTATTTGTTGTTTGTTTATGCAAAGAGTGTTAAGTTGTTATCAGCATACATAATGGGTTATAAGAAGGTATTTACAAGCCTCATGTTAACATCAAATGTGAAAACATGCAAAGGATACAAAAAATAAAAAGCAAGACATCAAATTCTAAAACCAGAGAAAAATCACCTTCACTAAATGGAAGACAGGAAGGAAAGAAAAAAGGAAGAAAAGACCACAAAACAAACAGAAAACAAACAGCAAAATGGCAGAAGTAATTCCTTACTTATTATTGATTACATTGAATGTAAATGGACTAAATTCTCTGTATTAGTCCGTTTTCACACTGCTGTAAAGACACTACCCAAGACTGAGTAATTTAATAAACAAAGGAGGTTTAATTGACTCACTGTTTCCGCTGGCTGGGGAGGTCTCAGAGAACTTACGATCATGGCAGAAGGGGAAGCAGGCACCTTCTTCATAAGGTGGCAGGAGAGACAGAGAGAGTGTCTGTAGGAGCAAATGTCAAACTTATAAAACCATCAGATCTCATGAGAACTCATGCATTATCATGAGAACAGCATGAGGGAAACCGCCCCAGTGATCCAATCACC
Organism: Homo sapiens; assembly: GCF_000001405.40. Taxonomy (NCBI): domain Eukaryota; kingdom Metazoa; phylum Chordata; class Mammalia; order Primates; family Hominidae; genus Homo; species Homo sapiens. The sequence continues at coordinate 81,009,126 of NC_000013.11, read as the reverse complement.
TCCCACCAGGTTTATCCCTCAACACCTGGGGATTACAAGTCAAGATGAGATTTGGGTGGGGACACAAAGCTTAACCATATAATTCTGCCCCAGCCCTTCCCAAATCTCATGCCTTTTCACATTTTAAAACTAATCATGCTTTCCCAACAGTCCCCCAAAGTCTTAACTCATTTCAGCATTTACTCAAAAGTACATAGTCTGAAGTCTCATCTGAGACAAGGCAAGTCTCTTCTGCCTATTAGCCTGTAAAAAAGCAAGTTAGTTACATCCTAGATACAATGGGGGTACAGGCATTGGGTAAAGGCTCCCATTCCAAATAAGAGAAATTGGCCAAAACAAAGGCTACAGGCCCCATATGAGTTCAAAACCCAGTGGGGCAGTCATTAAATCTTAAAGCTCCAAAATAATCTCTTTTGACCCCATGACTCACATCCAGTTCATGCCGATGCAAGAGGTGGGCTCCCATGGCCCTGGACAGCTCTGCCCCTATGCCTTTGCCGGGTACAGACTCCACAGCTGCTTTCACGGCTGCTTTCATGGCTGGCATTGAGCGTCTGTGGCTTTTCCAGGTGCATGGTGCAAACTCTCAGTGCATCTACCATTCTGGGATCTGGAAGACAGTGGCCCTCTTCTCACAGCCCCAGTAGGCAATGCCCTAGTGGGAACTCTGTGTGGGGGCTTCCTAATCTTCATCTGAGACAACCTCAGCCTGGACTTCATTGACCATAATAGCATTTTGGTCAAAACCATTCAACAAGTCTCTAAGAATTTCCAAACTTTCCCACATCTTTCTGTCTTCCTCTGAGCCCTCCAAACTGTTCCAACTTCTGCCTGATACCCAGTTCCAAAGTCGCTTTCACATTTTTGGATACCCACTCTTCATAGCAGTACCCCACTTTCTGAGATAACAATTTACTGTATTAGTTCATTTTCACACTGCAATAAAAATACTACCTGCAACTGGGTAATTTATAAACAAAGGAGGTTTCATTGACTCACAGTTCCACCTGACTGGGGAAGCCTCAGGAAGCTTACAATCATGGCAGAAGGGGAAGCTGGCACCTTCTTCACTGTGGATGGGAGAGACAGAGAGAGTGTGTATAGGAGAAAATGTCAAACACTTAAAAAACCATCAAATCCTGTGAGAACTCACACATTATCACAAGAACAGCATGGGGAAAACTATCTCCATGATCGAATCACCTCCCACCAGGTCTCTCCCTCAACACCTGGGGATTACAAATTCAGGAAGAGATTTGGTTGGGAACACAGAACCTAACCATATCACTCTCCTATCAAACAACATAGAGTGTTTAAATGGATTTTTTAAAAAAGATACCCAGTGATCTGTTGCCTACATTTTACCTATGCATGCACACATGGACTGTATAAACAGATGGAAAAAGCTATTCCATGCCGACAGAAACAAGATAAAGCAGGAGTAGCTATACTTATATCAGACAAAATAGATTTCAAAACAAAAAGTCCAGGAAACAAGAAGGTCACTATAATGATAAAGGAATCAATTTATCAAGAAAATAATAACGGCCGGGTGTGGTGGCTCACATCTATAATTCCAGCACTTTGGGAGGCCGAGGCGGGTGGATCATGAGGTCAGGAGATTGAGACCATCCTGGCTAACACAGTGAAACCCCGTCTCTACTAAAAATACAAAAAATTAGCCGGGTGTGGTGGCAGGCACCTGTAGTCCCAGCTACTCGGGAGGCTGAGGCAGGAGAATGGCATGAACCCAGGAGATGGAGTTTGCAGTGAGCTGAGATCGCACCACTGCACTCCAGCCTGGGTGACAGAGCGAGACTCCATCTCAAAAAAAAAGAAAAAAAAGAAAATAATAACAATTGTAACTATATATGGACCCAATGCTAGAGCACCCAAATACATATAGCAAATATTATTAGAGCTAAAGAGAGAGATAGACCCCAATATGATAATAGCCAGAGATATCAACACCCCACTTTCAACATTATACAGATCTTCCAGACAGAAAGTCAACAAAGAAACATCAGACTTAATCTGCACTGTAGTCCAAATTGGACAAAAAGATATTTACATAACATTCCATCCAATGGCGGCAGTATAGACATTGTTTCCTTAGCACATAGATCATTCACAAGAATAGACCATACTTTAGGTCACAAAGTAAGTCTTAAAACATTTTAAAAAATGAAATAATATCAAGCACCTTCTTTGACCACAATAGAATAAAACTGAAAATCAATAATGAAAGGAATTTTGGAAACTATACAAACACATGGAAATTAAAAAATATGATCTTGAATGACCAGTGATTATTTGTATTATATTCTTTATTTCAAATTTATTTCTACTCTGATCTTTAGTATTTATTTTGTTCTACTCATTTTGAATTTGGTTTGCTCTTGCTTTTCTAGCTCTTTAAGATGCACCTTTAAGTTGTGTATTTGATGTTTTTCTTTTTTTTGATGAAGGAAGTTATAACTACAATCTTCCATCTTAGTATTACTTTTTACTGAATTCCATAAGTTTTGGTATTTGTGTTTTTATTATCATTTGTTTCAAGAAATTTTTAAATTTTCTTCTCAACATAATAAAAGCCGTACATAAGCCCCACAGCTACTATTATACTGAATGGGGAAAACCTGAAAGCCTTTCCAGTAAGATCTGGAACATGACAAGGATGTTCACTGTCACCACTGTTCTTCAACACAGTCCTGGAAGTCCTACTTAGA